>NC_000002.12:191125981-191429011 GCF_000001405.40 Homo sapiens | reverse complement strand
TGCAGTCTACCAACATGAATTACATAGCCAGGAGTATGAACAAACTTAGTTACGCATAAAAAATACGAATGAAAGAAGCCAGGCAGAAGACTATATATTGTATGATTCAATTTATATAAAGCTTTAAAATGGGCACAATGAATAAATGTACTATAAAACAAGATGCGTTACTTTTGTGGAAGGATTATGACTAGGATGCAGAAGGGGGCCTCTGGGTGCTATCTTTGGGGTGCTTGTTTTGGGTGCTAGTCACATGGATGTGTTCACTTCCTTGTTCGCATTTCTGATGTATATATTATAAAAATGTATATTTTTAAAGGGAATATGACAATTCTGTTACTCTGTGAGCCCCCTCTCCCACCAGAAAAAAACAAAGTTGGGGTGAATATAAAATAACTGAAATAAGGTAGCTAGTTAATCTTTCCCTTAGTACTGCCAGGCCTTTGGATGAATATGGAATTAAATTCTGTTCCCTATTCCTTTCTGAAATACTGAGAAGCTGAGACTATTTTCCTTGGTTATAAAGTTAGATTTTTGTCGAATTTCATGGAACTGACCAGAGGTGATCTAGCAACCATGCCAGAAAAAAAGTTAATGAGAAAGAGATTGTGGCTTTTGCTGTACTGTGATTAACTCCAGATTTTGAAAATGATCTTCAAACCAAAGAAAATGAGGCAAACATTCCATGATCTGGAGGAAACCAACTCAAAACAATTAATTTTCTCCTGTGTGGCAAATGAAATAAAAGCTGATGAGACCAGAAAGCATGTGCCACCTCATCAAGGTTACGGCTTCCTAGGGTTTAGCTAACAAAAACCTAAGAATCAAAGAGCACACGACAGAATTATTAAAGTAAGACTCAAAGAAAGTGCTCCTCCAATAATAACACAACAGAAAATCTTCGAATGTATGATGAAAACTTACAGCTGTTTTTCTCAACAGGAGGAAAGAAAAGCAAAACTACTGCCCTTCTTTCTCTTCCATTCTACCCCTATGCATCTAATTGTTTTAGTGAATTTGAGTACCACAATATTCATGGAAAAACAATGTCCAGCTTAAAAACAAAGGCTCTTAATATGATACATTCTGGTTAAAACTCATTGTGAGAACAGACACATTAATGAATTTACTAAATCCTTCCCCAGCAACTTACACCATTTCAAAGGTACTTGCTATTTCAAGATTTCAATGAGCCTAAGAAATACCTTACCTATTATATATGAAAAGTAACAGATAAGAAGTTTTGCCTTTTATATTTGGCCTAAAAGCATTTTGAACCATGCTCTAATTATCACAATTATACTCAATTACATGAACTTGAGAGTTCTCAGCATATTAATTGACATGGCATAATAAACAGTTCATTCTCTTAGATTTCTGCCAAATCCGTAATATTGACGATATCCCTATGATTCTCAGAACTCTTGGCCTGCTTCTTTGCCATTACAGACATACCCCCATCACCCCTGGGTATGAGCAAAGCTTTTCAAATTTGAGCTGAAGGCCTTCCATTTGAATTCTGGGTCCAAGTTATTATTCAAGAGTGTGCAGTACAAAACTGTAATCAAGCCATTAGAGAATAACTATTCCCATACTCCCTTCTTGTCCTGTGGCAGATGGAAATCAAAGTCAAGAGTAGCTGCATCAACTACACTGCATACCTTGGCAACTACCATGTTCTATCTGGTACCCATTACCCGTTTACTTTTTTCAAGCCCATCAGTTAGTCACTCCAGGGTCTGGGTACTCCTAGTCACTACTGGACTAGATCTAGGAGTCTAGGTCCTAGGTGACTAGGTCTAGTCACTCCACTCACTCCTAGAAGTCACTGCAGGGGCCGAGCAACCTTCTAAGTTATGGGTGGGAACAAGTTAGGGCTGTGAGGCCAGGCCAGAATACACAGGAATTCTGGAGTGTCATGAATGCTTTAACTTTCCTTTGCAGGACAGCGACAGAAACCGAGATAAAGGAGTATCAGTTTCTTGCTCACTGTAATAGAGTGATGCCACAGTTATTGGTAACCTCTAGTTCGGCACTGGGGTTGGCAGATTTGGCAGGTATGGCTCACTGGGCCATGTGCAGCCAGAGGGAAGCTTTAGACTAATGGTTCTCATATTTGGGTGAGGGTCACCAAAGGAGGACTTTTTAAGGCATAGACGGCTGTGTGTAGCTATAGAGAAGCTCTAGTAATTTCCCTTGGTGGTTCTCAAACTTCAATGTGTGTGAGTCATCTGGAGATTTTTCTTTTTTGAGACAGGGTCTCACTCTGTCGCCCAGGCTGGAATGCATCTGGAGATTTTCTTTAAAATGTCTGTTTTCAAACTCTATTCCAGAGATTCTGATTTGGTTAGTATAGGGTATGGCCCAGGAACTGGCATGGGTTTTTGTTTTTTTGTAATCTTTTAAAAACGAGCTTTCTAGCTGGGTGCGGTGGCTCACGCCTGTAATCCCAGCACTTTGGGAGGCTGAGGCAGGCAGATGACTTGAGGTCAGGAGTTTGAGACCAGCCTGGCCAATATGGTCAAACCTCGTCTCTACTAAAAATAAACAAATTAGCTGGGCGTAGTGGTGCATGCCTGTGGTCCCAGCTACTCAGGAGGCTGAGGTAGGAAAATCGCTTGAACCCAGGAAACGGAGGTAGCAGTGAGCTGAGAATGTGCCACTGCACTCCAGCCTGGGTGTTGCAGCAAGACTCTGCCTCCAAACAAAACAAAACAAAACCAAAAATTAAAAAAAACACACACACAAAAAACAAGCTTTCCTTGTGGTTTTGAACCAGATTGATGCGCAGTGACATTTTGGGAAACACTGCTCTATAGTGGGTCACCTGGGCCATAGTGGCACTCTCCTTTGTAGTGTGGTCAGGTTATTACTGCTCTTCCCAATGGGGAATGTGAAGGGCTTTCACCTTGGTACATAAGGAAGCTTTCTGGCTGCAGTTCAGCAAATCTTTCCCAACACGTCAAGTCACAACCCATGAAGAATGGGTTCCATGACCAAAAATTATTGAATACTTCAGTGACAAGACTGATTGAACAATCTGCAAATAAGGTATTTGGAAAAATCTAACAAGTAGACCTATGGGATATTTCTCCTTTCCATCCTAGTCTTCCATCCTCAAGTTCCATTTAGGAAGCAACCCAATGATAATGAGTAGGAGACCAGGTAAATCCACCACAGCACATCCATACAACGGAAGAATGAGCAGCTCTTCATGATATTCTGCTAGGTGAAAAAGGCAAGATAAAGAACAATGGCTACAATATAATATACTAGCTTTTGTCTACTAAAGCAGAAGAACGTAAGAATCTATTTTGATTTCCTTTTGCAAACATATGGACAAAGTAATACAAAAGCAACTAACAACAATGGTTAATGTTTCGGGGAGGGTGGGAACTAAGCAGATAGCTGGTTGATAGGATGGAGAATTTGTAATGTATATATTTTAACACTTACTTACATGCTGAACAATGTGAACATACTGCATGTTATTTAAAACACCACACCCTCTCATTCCCAAATTTCTACTCACCAGTATCAGGAACTATTAATCTACCACTTTAGGCACAAGGCAAGAAGAATCTAAGTAATTACATCCTCTACCTGCACCAATAAACACAAAGACTTCTGAGAACTTCTTTATGTGAGCAATTTTTAAAAATACAAGTCAAGAGAAAATCCCCAGAAAATATTTTCAATTAATGTTTCTGGTTTATAAAAGATAAGTGAAATTCAGTTACACAGAGAACATATAATGTTTGGATTGTAAAACCTTTCTGAGAGATGATACATTGACACACAACATATGAAAATAGCTTGAGATACAAAAATACAGTTGTGATTCAGGAAATGGCACCAAATTAGAACAATTTTATTATTTAACATAATACCAATGTATATACATTATCCTCCCAAATAAGAAACAATTTGATTCCAAAGTTTAAAATGTAGTTTCCAAAATGAACCCTTGTAAATTTGAAGAAAAAGAAAGAAAGCCCTGCAAGTTACACAAATTTTGATCCATGACTAAAATAGGCACCCTGTACCAATCACCTTTCTCATACAAAAATGTATATTATAAATAAAACTTTCAAAAAAGATCTTGGATGTTTTATTGCACATCATACAGAATGTTTTACTGCTATCTGAATGGCTTTTAGCCCTTTACTTTGTTAGGTGTTTAAAATATCTACTCAAATTTGGGTGAAAACAATATTCTGGAGATATTATCATTTCGAGGATCATATATGGTATTTACCAGAAACAGAAACATATAATCTTACTGGACTGCTTCTGTCACTTTTTCTAAAATAAGAATGACTTCTATTTTCTACTGTTACAAGTAATTACCAGAGTTTTAAACAAATTAAAAGTCCTGTTCAAATGTCAGTTTTCTTTTTTTCAAACAGAAACCACATGTAGAGGGATTTAACCTGGTCATTCATTTCTGCCCCCTCTTAGGACCAGCCCTTCTTGAAGCCTATATTGTTAAATATCATACTACAGGGTTCCTAATAATGCTGTCCATCATTAACAGTTATTGTTTTGGTCTCACCATTTCTAAACCTTCTTAGATGTCGTTAAACCAGCACAAACCAGCCAGAATGCAATGGTCTCAAAAACAAAAAGGTTCCTAATAAGTTTTCATACCATCTAGCACAGTGCCTAGCATAGAGTAGGCATGGAATAAATATCTGATGAATGAATGCAGTATCTTTTAAGACCATTTCCTATGCTTATATTAATTAATGATTTATGAGTAATATGCTGATTTAGGGTACACAGACCTAACATGATGACTAAAGGAAGAACACATCAGACATGAAAATAGACACTGTTAGTTTCTACAATCCTGCTCCAGGACAGAACATGTATTTGAAAGGTTAAAACTATTCCAATAATAAAAATTGATTAGTCAAATATTTTTATTTTGCCAAAGAACTCTAAAAGCCTTTGGTGATTCCCAAACATACAATGAACCCCAAATAAAACAAAACCAAATTGCACTATTACAAAGGAACAAGTCCATGAAAGTAGAGAGGAGGCGCCAGTTAAGGGACAGCAACTTCAAGGAGACGGTTGTTTTTTCGTTTACATGTTGGGACACTCCCATTTTTCTGGTTTCCCTGAATAAACTTCACACATACTTTGTCCTGTCTGAACTGTACCAGGAACCTAGGAGAAAAGAATAAAACAAATTAAAGTATACACAAAACAGCTCATGATTACAATAACACTTGCTTTTGTATTTTAATGGATACTGATCTTGACGAGTACAGGCTGCGCATCCCTAACCTAATCCGAAAATCTGAAACCTCCAAACTCTGAAATGTTTAAAGCACTGACATGATGCTTAAAGGAAATGCTTGCTGGAACATTTCAGATTAAGACTGAAACATTAAGTATAATGCAAGTACAGTCTATGGGCTACCTAACAACGTTTCAGTGAACAATGAACCACATATATGATGGTGGTCCCATAAGCGCGGAAAAATTCCTATGGCTTAGTGACGTCATAGCTCTCCTAATGTAGGGCAATACACTACTCATGTTTGTGGTGACTGATGTAAACATACCTAATTCACTGTCAGTCATATACGATGGGGGTCCTATAAGATTATGATGGAGCTGGCCTATACAGTCGTACCATTTTTTTGTCTTTTATACTGTATTTTTACTGTACTTTTTCTGTTTAGATAGACAACTATTTACCATTGTGTTACAATTGCCTACAGTATGCAGTACAGTAACATGCTATAAACAGTTGGCTATACTATAATATACAGCCTATGTGTGTAGTAGGCTATACCATCTACGTTTGTGTAAGTACACACTCTATGATGTTTGCACAAAATCACCTAGTGACACACTTCTTAGTACACATCCCCAAGTTAAATGACACATGACTGTATTCCAAAACAAGAAACTGGGAACACTTCTTGTCCCAAGCATTTCGAATAAGGGAGACTCAACCTGTATCACTTCTTCCCATGAGCACTTCTTACACAGAATTGTATCAATGCAATTTACCTCCAGTAGTCCTCATTTAGCCCTAAGAAAACTAAAGTTCATTAACTCATCATATTCTAGTAAGGTAGAAAGGCTAAGAATTATTTCTGTGTTTCAAATGGAAAGACCAACAGGTTATATTTCCATTTTTCCACGGCAAAAAAAAAATATGGGAGGGGGCTCCTATTAAATTATCAACAAATTGAGAAAATGAGGTAAAGAATTTCACAAAAGGAAGGGGCCTGGCAACCCTCTAGTCTATGGCTTCTAAACACTGGTTACTCACATATGTCCTACATAGTTTTTGTCGTTATCTGCATAGTATGCTAATAGCTATTGCTAGCTTAAATGTATTTCAAAATAATAGTGACCTACAGAATATGCATAAAATCATGTGTTTGATCTACCACATATATCTTTAATACCCATTAAAATATTTATATAAAAATTATAAAAATTTAAAAAATCCATTAGTGTATAGAAATTAATTCATGGATTAAAAAATCCATTAGTGTATTTTTCCCTCAGTGTATCATGTGGACCACTGCTGGGATAAGAGATGACTTTAGGTGTACAATTGAGCATCCACAGAGGGTTCTTCACACCATCCCTGTGCTGGTGCTGCGAGGAACCCCCAACTGTATATGATGAGATCCCTGAACTGAGGATAGCATCACTGGGGGACATGAGAGCTGCATCGCTGGGCCAGAAACCAGGTCTTCCAGTTCCAAAACCAGTGATCTCTTCTCTCTACCCTCATAATTAGCATAGCATTATGACATTTTCCATATTCTCAGGGATGGTTTTCTCAGTCAATGGCACATTACTAAAGTGAGTCAACCTAACAACCACTGACCACTTACTGACATCCCCCAGCGATGTGAGGATCCACAGCTCTGCTCTGTATCCATTAGTTTCAGTTTCAAGGTCTAAAGAGGCCACATTTTGCAAACATTATCTGCTAGAATGAAACAAGGCAAATGTGTTTCTAATTCATCAGTTGTTTTATAAGGATAGTGCTTCTGATCTTTTAAATGGGTTCTTCATTTTCAACTTGAAAGCAATGAGGAAAGGACAGCTATAGTTCCAGATTCAACTACCTGAGATATATCTCTGGCATATATACTTGTATGTATGTGTCTCAAAAAAAATCTTTCAGGTTTATTGAAAATTCACACATTTTAAAAATCAAACACTTTCACATTTTTATTTTCAAAGACCACTTGTGGCTGGGCACAGTGGCTCATGCCTGTAATCCCAGCACTTTGGGAGGCCAAGGCAGGCAGGTAACTTGAGGCCAGGAGTTCGAGACCAGCCTGGCCAACATGGCAAACCCACGTCTCTACTAAAAATACACAAATTAGCCAGGGACGGTGGTGCATGCCTGTAATTCCAGCTACTCGGGAAGCTGAGGCAGGGGAATCGTTTGCAGCTAGGAGGCAGAGGAGGCTGCATTGAGCCGGGATCACACCACCGGACTCTGACCTGGGTGACAGAGGGAGACTCTGCCTCAAAATAAATAAAAAAGACCACTTGTAAGTGTAATAAATGTATAGGAACTTCTTTCCCCAATAACCTTGGCCTACATTAACTGTTTCCATGTCTATAATTCCTGATTAATATTCACACTAGAGGCCAGGCACGGTGGATCATGACAGTAATCCCAGCACTTTGGGAAGCTGAGGTGGTCGGATCACCTGAGGTCAGGAGTTTGGAACCAGCCTGGCCAAGACGGTGAAACCTCGTCTTTACTAAAAATACAAAAATTAGCAGGGCGTGGTGGTGCATGCCTGTAACCTCAGCTACTCGGGGAACTGAGGCAGGAGAATCCCTTGAACCCAGGAGGCAGAGGTTGCAGTGAGCCGAGATCTCGCCACTGCACTCGAGCCTAGGCGACAGAGCAAGACTCTGTCTCAAAAAAAAAAAAAAAAAGATTCACACTAGAAATAACAATAGGCAAGATATATTGAGGATTTGCTACATACCACACTGTGCTTGGCCATTTACTATGTTATTAGATCAGGCTTTAAGACAATCCTAGGAGGTAAGCACTATTATTTATCTTCACCTCATAGAAAAGAGAAAATCCTCCTCCAACAAACAATAACATGGAATGTATTATTTCATGGCATTCATACCAGTTAGAATTTCAAGGTAAAAGGAACATGGATTAGTTGTTTGGATTTCAAATATTCAGAAAACCAATTGTATAACTTAAATGATATATGTGTATCTATTGTACACACGTGTATACCTATATGTATATACACACACATATATTTAAAATGTTTAATGAAACAAATTCACTTTAGTTTTTACTCTATTTGGGAACTTGATTTTAGAAATATAGTCATGCATCATCTAATAAAAGGGATACATTCTGAGAAATGCATCACTAGGTGATTTTGTCATTGTGCAAACATCATAGAGTGAGTGCATTTACCCAAACCTAGATGCTACAGCGTGTTATTGTACTGTAGGTAACTGTAACACAATGGTATTTGTATGTGTAAACTTAGTAAGAATAGAAAAGGTACAGTAAGAATAGCATAAAAGATAAAAAATAGTGTACTTGTCTAGCGCCCTTACCATGAATGGGGCTTGCAGGCCTGGAAGTAGCTCTGGGTGAGTCAGTGAGTGAGTTGTTAGTGAATGTGAAGGCCTAGGACATTACATTACGGTATACTTTATAGGTAATTTTTTCTTTCTTCAATAATAAATTAACCTTTGCTTACTGTAACTTTTTGCTTTATAAACTTTACAATTTTAAAAACATTTTTGACACTTTTGTTTTGTTTTTGAGGCAGGGTCTTGGTCTGTCTCCCAGGCTGGAGTTCACTGGAGCAATCATGGCTCAGGGCAGCCTTGACCTTCCCGGGCTCAGATGATTCTCCCACCTCAGCCTCCTGAGAAGCTGGGACTACAGGTGTGTGTCACCATGGCTGGCTAATTTTTTAATTTTTTTGTTGAGAAGGGGTTTCGTCATGTCGCCCAGGCTGGTATTGAACTCCTAAGCTCAAGCAATCCACCAGCCTTGGCCTCCCAAAGTGCCAAGATTACAGGCGTGAGCCACTGGGCCCGGCTGTTTTTTGGCTCTTTTGTAATAACACTTAGCTTAAAACACAATACTTTGTATAGCTGTACAAAAATATTTTCTTTATAACCTTATTCTATAAGCTTTTCTCTATTTTTAAAATTTTAATTTTTTTTATTTTTACTTTTTAAACTTTTTGTTAAAAACTAAGATACAAACATATTAGCCTAGGCCTACACAGGGTCAGGAGCATCAATTTCACTGTCTTCTATCTCCATGTCTTGTCCCACTGGAAAGTCTTCAGGGGTAATAATACACATGGGGCTGTCTTCTCCTAAGATAACAATGCCTTCTGAAATACCCCCTTAAGGACCTGCCCGAGGCTGTTTTACTATTAACTTTTTTAACATGTAGGCATACACGCTAAAATAAAGATAAAAAGTACAGTATAGGCCGGGCGTGGTGGCTCACGCCTATAATCCCAGCACTTTGGGAGGCTGAGGCGGGCAGATCACAAGGTCAGGAGATCGAGACCATCCTGGCTAACACGATGAAACCCCACCTCTACTAAAAGTACAAAAAATTAGCCGGGCGTGGTGGCGGGCAGCTGTAGTCCCAGCTACTCGGGAGGCTGAGGCAGGAGAATGGCATGAACCCAGGAGGCGGAGCTTGCAGTGAGCCGAGATCACGCCACTGCACTCCAGCCTGGGCAACAGTGCAAGACTGAGTCTCAAAAAAAAAAAAGTATAGTATAATAAATACATAAACCAGTAACAACATCATTTATTATCAAGAGTTACATATTGTACATAATTGTATGTGCTTTTACTTGTAGACAACTGGCAGTGAAGTAGGTTTGTTTACACCAGCAGCAGCACAAACATGTGAGTAGTGCCTTGCACTATAACATTACAACACCTGTGACATCAATAGACAGAAGAATTTTTCAGCTCCATTACAATCTTAGGGGACCACCGTCATCTGTGCAATCCATTGCTGACCAAAATGTCATTATGTGGTGCATAACTGCATTACACATCTTGCAGGTTATCCTTAAAATGCAATCTAGTTACACATTGAACAGCTTAGAAGTTTAAGGACTAGAAACTATAAGGCAGCTGAATCTCTGAATGAATTCAATTCTCACTTCTATATGTACAAGTTTAAATTCCACTGAACAGGCTGGGCGCGGTGGCTCACGCCTGTAATCCCAGCACTTTCAGAGGCCCAGGGGGGCGGATCACCTGAGGTCAGGAGTTCGAGACCAGCCTGACCAACATGGAGAAACCCCATCTCTACTAAAAATACAAAATTAGCCAGGCGTGGTGGTGCATGCCTGTAATCCCAGCTACTCAAGAGGCTGAGGCAGAATAATCCCTTGAACCCGGGAGGCGGAGGTTGCGGTGAGCCAAGATCGTGCCACTGCACTCCAGCCTTGGCAACAAGAGCGAAACTCTGCCTCAAAAAAAAAAAAAAAAAAAAAAAATCCACTAAAGAGTAAACAGGACTTTGACTCTCTTTCCATAAACTGACATCCACTTATCCATAATGATTACAGAATCTAGGTTTGTTAGAGTAACTACTTCTACTTCTGGGAAGGAAAAAGCAAGGAAGGGCTTAGTCACTAAACTGCATGTGGTTTTCAACACTGGTTCTATAGAGCTAGCGAAGCCACTTAGGGCTGACACATAAAGGAACAGGCGCCCCTGCCTATGACTTTGGACATTTTCGTTTAAATTCAAAATGCTCCCTAAGGAGATTTACGATCCTTACCTACAAACTTCCTCTGCAGGCTTCCTGTGCCACCTGGGGAAGGGACCCACGGGTGCTATGTAGAGTCCTATGAACTGTTTTATTTTTATGAGACCAATCAATAATTAGGCACTGGAGAATGAAAGGCATTATAATGCTACCCAATGTTTGTTTTCTTCATGTGGCCACATTATAAATCTTCGCTCAGACAACTGTTTACTGAAAGCTTATGGCATCCAGAACATCACACGCCCTCTGTGACAGGGCAGGGCCCTTGCTGCCCAGAAGCGAACTGTCCCCCTTTCCCAGATGGCACACCTTCGAACACAAGCTGTGAGAGCTGCTGAAGGAGCTCTGTGGTTGACTATGTTTAGGATTCACGCCACACGCTATCCCCGCAAAGCTCCTCAGGAGAATCACAACAAGATTTCAGGGACTCTGAGATGTAATGTAGTGAAGAAAGATTTTAAATTTCCATCAGAGAACAATTTTTTCACAGTACATCGTTATTAGCATCCTGTACAAGCAATGTTCCTAGAATCCCGGTTTGGGAAATGCTTAAAAATAGCAGTACTTTGTGGTCTGGATGTTGGTGTGATTTCCTTTCTGTGTAAAGATGAGTTTATTCACATAGTGGGACAACTATGAGACTGCTTCGTCTGTACACTGAGGAGCTTCTGCTGTCTGGGATACATACGATCTTCCCATGGTGAGTGAGAATTAGCAGCCCCACCAAAGCCCATTCTCCCAGATTATGAAAAACTTCAACTATTATAAAGGGATTTTAAAGCTCTAATAGGCCCTAACGTGTTAAATCCTTAACTGAAACACACCAACCATTATTTTTTTCCTAATTTCTTTATGAGAAAGATCTCATTAACAAGAAAAGTTATTTAGTCCGAACAGCAATTTCCAATATAGAGTATACATGAAGCCCAACCTCCCACCCAAATCTAAACACTTCAATGAGAACTTAAGAAAAGCCCACAGCACTGCAAAATCCTAACATATCAAAGAGAGTCTGACTTACAAAGGGGCAGAAATGGGTGTAAATTTATTTTAGAAAGACTTTTAGGAAGAGTTGAAACAGAATAGACTAGAAAATTCTTAATTAGAAAAGAATATAATTTCCTGAGCAATCTAGACATGCAAAGAAGTATATAAGCAGGTAAACAATCTATTGAAAGGTAACCAATTAAGTATAATCAACACAGTAACTCAGATTTCTCCAAAACACTTACATAGATAGATACAATAAATCTGGGGATGCCCCAACCTGTATGCAAATAACTAACTTCTATATTCAGAACCCTAATGAGAAATTGAAGAAGCAAATTTCAAATTTATACCAGTCTCAGATGTCACCACATCAAAGAGGCCTCCCTGACTCTTTTTTTTTTTCTGAGACGGAGTCTCACACTGTCACCCAGGCTGGATTGCGGTGGCACGATCTCGGCTCATTGCAATCTCCGCCTCCCGGGTTCAAGAGATTCTCCTGCCTCAGCCTCTTGAGTAGCTGGGATTACATGCGCCCGCCACCACGCCCAGCTAATTTTTTTTGTATTTTAAGTAGAGACGGTTTCACCATGTTGGCCAGGCTGGTCTCGAACTCCTGACCTCGTGATTCGCCTGCCTCGGCCTCCCAAAGTGCTGGGATTACAGGCGTGAGCCACTGCGCCTGGCCTACTCTCTGACTCTTAACCCTTTTTTTCCTCCATAAACACTTGTTAGCCAAAATCTTATCAACTATTTCATCATTTTATTTGTACATACTGGTCTCTTCCACTAGGATGTCAGGTACATGAGGTTGGAGACTTGGTCAGTGTCATTCACTGCCCATTTATCATGTGGAACAACTACTAGACACATACCTGGTACTTAATAAGTAGTTGTATTAATGAATGAGATCGAGAGCTGAACTAAAACAAAAAAGCTGAAAGAGAAAAAGGGTTTTCAAACAATACATGAACGTACTCATCGGAAATCTCAATATTGAGCTTCTGTTTGGTTTGGCTGAGAGTTGTGCGATAGAGCTTGGTGGCCATTTCAATCAGGTGATCACTGCTGAAGAGAAAGTCTCCTTTACTAGCTGCTTCTGAGCCCTGCAAGGACAAACCAAGAGTCGGTCATAATTAAAGATACCTTAGAAGGTCAATATTTACAGGCTTGGCTAAAAACATACTTACAGTCTCTTTAAAACATCAGATCCTGGAATCCATTCTCCCAAGGTAAACAATAATGACAAAAGCAGTGTTTCTTCCAACTTGCTCAGAGCACTTTAGTAAGGTTACCTAATCCCCTTCTACCTAAAGTCGGTGGATGCAGCAGAAGCACCATGTGCATCACTTGGAGCTTGCTAGAAAAGCAGAATCTCAGGCCCTACCACAGCCCCAGTGAATATGAAACCACAACGCAACCTCCAGGTATGGGTTTACACATTCAGGTTTGAGGAGCATGGACCTATCCCGCAACTCTTCTGAAGGACTTGATTAAAAAACTTTTCAGTGATTTGGTTAAAACCCTAATGACAACACTTCCAACAAATATCCTAGGGCAGTGGCTCTCAGCCTTAGCTGTGCAAGGGAATCATCTGGGTTTATTCAAAAAAAAAACAAAACAAAACAAAAAAAAAAACATGATGCTTGTGCCCCCTCTGAGAAATTCTAATTTGATTTCATAGGGGTATGGCCTGGGCATCAGAATTTTTAAAGTTCCCAAGCTGTTTACATGTGTCACTGAGGTTGAGAATCACTGTCCTAGTATTTGATATGCCCCCTTTAAGTTAAGATCCAAAGTAGGGTAAACAGGCTAAGGGAAGCTTTGGGGATTTTTCTAAGTTTAGGGTTGGCCAGAGAGTAACATTATTAGCTAGACACATGTCCCTACATATGATCAATATTTGTTAACTTTTGTTTATTCAGTGACTATGTGTTATGTGACAGGCCCTGTTCCTCCAGTGTCTCATTTAATCCTTAATCCTTACAACAATGCTATGAAGTAGGCACTCTTACTATCCCCATTTTAAAGATGAGAAAAAGTAGGTAGGCACACACAAATTAAATGCCTTGGCCAAAATTATCATAAAGTGAGTGAGACCAACTCCAGAACCTACATGTAACCACTGCATCCAAGCCAGGAGTCCTGGTTAAGCTAAAGGCACAGAACACTAAAAATTATTTAGGTTAAAATTAACTGGCGGTTATTTTATTTTAGTTGTATCCTTTAATGTAAACCCCCAGATTAGAGATGAACATTAAGACATTTACTAAGTTGATACATAGAAGAAAAAACAGGAGAAAACAAAATTTAAAACATCTTGATATTTCTATGTATTAGTCTCAAAAAGTAAAGTAAACTGGCCAATAAAAGTGATTAACTTTATTCAATTACTGAAAAACTGAGTCGGAGATTTTACATAGGGGTGAATATCCAAAATTTGCAAATTAGCAAGGCAGATATATAAACTGCGATAGGATTATCAGATATGGAAATTTTTTAAATCAATGGCTGAGAGATTAAGCACAGAAATCTTCTGTTGAACCTTTACCTCTTTGAGGTGGACGGCGAAGAAGCCATCATTTTGTGAGCTCATTGATACCTTGGTCACATCCACCAATGGAACCTCTGACTTGATTTGTCCAGACTTTTGGTCAGCAAGAAGGAGATTATTGTTTGTTAAGAGGAAAATCCGAGATGTACTCTAAATCAAAATAAAAAATAGTATAAAACCAATGATCACAAATACTCAAAAATGGTCCATGAGTTTAAGGCATTATTTGCAAAAATTCCAATATCCTTCAACAAACATACCTATGTAAACCAAGAACGCAGTAAAGAACATAAATAATATGTTTTATTTCATAAAAATGTCAGAGAACAAGCAAAATTCCACCTAAGCTTAAAGGTAAGGGGAAATAGCCGCCTTCATAGTTAACTCTACTGAGAACATGAAATGCAAATTTTTACATTCAGAAAACAGGGTGACTATCCCAACTAATAGGTACTTCTTATCAGTCTTCAAGGTTAGCATTTTTACCTTCCCATTAGCACGGTTAATTTTGTTCACGACTTCAGCAATGATGATCTTTTCTTCAATGGCATCTTTGAGTTTCTTATACTTGGGGTTCTTGTTGATTTCCAGGTAAGCCCCTTGGAATGGTTGCCCAACACTAAAGGAAAAAAATTCCTGCACATTAGAAATAGTTTCAAATGAAAGTACCACTAAAAAAAGGAAACAGGTCAGTTGATTCTAAGGAGTAGCTGACAACTTCATAAAAATTGATTTCAATTTATTTTATATATTACACTTACATCTGTCCTAAATATAAGTTGGAAATGAAACCTTAAACCTATTTCAAATACACTTTTGGGGTGATCATGGCATTTGGTGGGCAGGACTTTGATAATAATCTTATCACACGGAACAATCAAGACAGAAATCACTCATAAGAACAACAGCTAAGACTCAAGTACATGGCCTCATGTGAAGGAAAAGGCAATTTCTTCTAATCTGTTAATATAAAGTTAACAGCTGCTCACAAAGGATTTACTAACGCCTTCAAACAATATGTGGCAGTGAAAAGAGCTGAAATCATTACCATCACCTGCTCTAAAGAAAAATTTCATTTCTTGCAGAGAATAAGAAAATCAATAGGCCTTCTGGGAAAGAACAGATCCAGGGCAATCACTTTAGAAGAAAACTATAGAACACTTAATATTAACATGTAACTGTGGTTCTAAGTAGGCAATACAGATGGTCTCTGACTTGGTTTGACTTAGGGTTTTTCAGCTTTACAGTGGTGCTCATAAACCATTCTGTTTTTCACTTTCAGTACAGTGGTCAATAAACCACATGAGATATCCAACACTTTATTATAAAACAGGCTTTGTGTTAGATGATTTTGCCCAACTGTAGGCTAATGTAAGTGTGCTGAGCATGTTTAAGGTAGGCTAGGCTAAGTGATTGTGTTCAGTAGGTTAGGTGTATTAAATGCATTTTCAACTTATGATATTTTCAACTTCATATGACATATGACAACTTCATAAAAATTGACTTCAATTTATTTTATACATTACGCTTGCATCTGTCCTAAATATAAGTTGGAAATGAAACCTTAAACCTATTTCAAATATATTTTTGAGGTGATCATGGCATTTGGTGGGCAGGACTTTGATAATAATCTCATCACATGGAACAATCAAGATAGAAATCACTCATAACCCATATGATGGATTATCTGTGTGTAACTGCATCATAAGTTAAGCAGCATCTGTATATGAAAGGAGAATCAAGCCTCTTCTCCTAGAATATGCCTCTAAATGGACAGAAGTAACCAAAGCAAACATTCAGAATCAGGGCAATTTTTTTTTTCCCAAACAAACTAATTTTTGTAAAAGGTTAACTGTACACTTATCACTAAGATATCAATTTCCCTAAAGACTTGTCGGGGGACTCTTTCAGGACAGGTTCATCAAAGGCACCAAGGAAAAACTGCTGCTTCAAGGAATCTATAAGCTTCATTTTGAGCTACAAAGTTCTGGCAATTTGCAAATACAAATTTAAATGCTTATGTTGTGGGTGGAGGATAAGGGAAGAAAAATCCACGTAGGTGGTCAGCGTTTCACAGCTCTCAGGATATAAAAGGCCAACTCCCATAAGAGCTGCCACTTTGCAGGGTGGTGGGAGGCTAAATTATTCCACCTCTCTCACTGCTGTGGGGTGAGTGTGCCACTATCCCTGAAAACTGATAAGACTACCCAAAAAGGACTTGGCTTGAAGTTAACTTTTTTTGGTTCCTATTCAACTGTGTTTTAAATTATAAAAATGCTAACAGGCTTTTAAATTGTTTCCTCAAAGATGTATTTTCCAGCCTGTAGTTTCTGAAGAGTCATCCACAGGAAATGTTCATTAAGAAGGTTATTCCCTAATTTAAAAATGTATAAAAAAAAAGCTGAATAAAATTAGTTGCTGAAGCAAGCATACAGACAAATTCTCCTGTTTGAATATGCTTTATATAACAGGCACTTTGGACAACTTTGGATTTAGACACTGTGTTTGACTTAAGGGAGTATGTATCACCTCAAGTAGCCACATCAGCTAACCAATGAAGTTGTACAATTTAAAATATTTAAACCCAGTGAGTCTGGCAATGTATATTCCTTTAATCCTTTAAAAGGAAGATATTTTAAATGTGTATAAAGTCACAGAGAATATAAACATAATTTACGTAATAAATGTGAATATACTCAGCATATAATACATTCTTTCTTTGGCCATTCATTGGAAGAAGCTTAAAGTTGTTACAGATTTGGCTTGAAATTGTACAATCTACTTTTTTATAAACACCAGATGAAAATGGGATTAGATTGCTGGGAGGAAGTGATGAATGCAGGAGATGTAAGACTATTGGGATAAACAGTCTTTACCAAGGACTTCACTTGCTGAACTTGGGATTGGTGTTCCTTCTTTTTCTGAGTCCACGGTGTCTAAAATAAAGGAACTGAACGTGCTGTACAGGCCACAGAAGTCATATCCGTTGAGTTAGCAGACCAAAGGGCACCACAGACCAGTGCTCAAGCAACACTCAAAAAGTACTGTCCTGGCTCGCTCTTTCATTTACCTTACAAATAAGTTTCTGACCTTGCTTGCTATGGCAGGAAGACTGGAATGGTGATTAAAGTATATTGCCAACAGAAATTTGGCTAGTCTTTGAAAACTACGGAAAAGGAACAGGAATTTACAATGCAAACGTATCTTAACAGCCTATATAATTTTTATGTTAAATGACTTCTAATTATTTAGTAAAGTGTTTGAGCTAATGCTAATGGAGTGAAACCAACAATCGTAACCTCATTTCATTAAACTGCACTATAGAAGCCATAGCTCAAATAAATGTGTTTACATCAAGCTGATTATAAAATGATTCACAGAACTAAAAATCACTCATCTAAGACTGAAATCAAACACCAGGCAAAACGGCGTACAAATATACTTGAGAAACTTTTATAATCCTGAATTTTATGGGTAAAGCAAAGCCATAATACCTAGATGGGTATAAAGCCTTCTTGTCTTTGAAGAGTTCACTGGCTTCTAGTTTCTCTTCATAAATAAGTTTCTGCTGGTCTGTGAATTGGTCCCTGTATTTTTTACACTGTGAGATATGAGAAGAAAGAAACAAAACATCATTTATATAAATAAATTATTACTCATTCTTAAATATGCTAAGACAATTTATCAGCAACAAGAATAAGGGAGAAAGTACAAAACATTCACTAAAAAAGGCCAAAAACATTTTTCCCTTGTGGGTTTTAAAAAGTTTGTCTTGGAAAACGTCAGAGTATTATTTGTATTGCAGAACCTGGAATGCTTCTTCAAAACACACCAGGGCCTAGTGGGCACGGGCCTTGCAAGTACTATTTCCTCCCACTATGTCAATCCTTGGAAATCCTCTAGTCCTGAGGCTGTCACTCTTCTAGAGAGACTCACAGTAAAAATATTGTGCATCACAATCCACTAAGCACATTTCCACACACATACAGAGAAAACTGACACAAAAGCGTCACAAAACAATACTCAATCCTTTCTATATATTGTACACTCTGCTATTTTCTATTCTATTGCATTTTATTGAAAAACGCTGGTAGTAATCCACTAAATTGATTTCATGACCACAAATATGCTATGACAGTTTGAAAACCACTGCTCCAAATCCCCCCACTACCATTTTACAATAGGGATGAGGGACCTGAGATATCCCCTTTCACTCCATCCCTGAAGCTGCAATGAGAGGAGACAGTGGCCAGAGGAGCAGGGCCAGGTTTTTTAGATGAGCATTCCTAGAAATTCAGTTACAGGTGTGGTCAAGTGCTACTGAAATAATTGCATGAAGAAGTGTGAGCATTGCTGCTGACCCTTTCCATGGAAAGGCTCCCTTCAGGAATAAACAGCCCTCATCTCCCACCTCCAATCCAATGGAGGGATGGGTGAGATTGCAAAGCCAGGGGAGGGCAGAGGTGGTGCAGATCCCCAGCAATGGGAGCTCCCTGTCATTATTTCTGAAAACAGTTTCTGGGTTAGACTCAAGAAAGGAGACAAGCCATTAAGAGGTTCATGAACCTCGCCAAATTTGCTGTTAGAGAACAGAACTCAGAATCTAGTTCCTTATGTTGTATGGTACCACTTATCAAGCTAATCAGCAATAATGTCACTCTATACATAGATGATTCTAACAAAAAAACAAGCCCACCGTGCTGGGCAGGAAAGTTTCCTGGAGGATGTGTGTACTGAGCATTCATTTACTAAATACATGCCCTTCCATCTCATGATTTTATTACATCTGATAACTGCATATATTTAACATTCCACATATCAACTGACTAGGTTATCGAAGTAAGGTCAACATCTATACAAGTGCCCCACGTGTTCCATGCTGGGCAACATCTAAATTACATGCCATGTCCTCTTATACAAAATAAGAGAGCTAAAATAAAAGGCAGTATAAAACAGATTTCCAGCTTCCCTGTAATTTAGATAGAGAATGTGTTACTATCTTTAGGGACAGGAAAAAGCCTTTTTTCCCACCCATCAAAGTGTGTGTGTTCACATGTATTATCTGATTATCTGTTCTGTACATCTGATAAAGTAAACTCTTCAATTTGCAGGATTTAACTATGTTGCCTGAAGGTGTCCAAATTTTATGATTTCTCTGTCCTACAGTATTCCTTTAGACAAAGAGAGAAACAAATGAACAAAAAACTGAACTACTTGAGAGCAGCTGGAACCTGGAATGGAAAGAAAATGCAGCCCTGTGCTCCCCGTTCCAGCCAGGGCCGAGAGGCGACCGCACAGGGAACGCCTGGGCCGCTGCAGGGGCTCTCGTAGAAACTCAATATGGTGCATGGGGGAAAATCACCAAAGTCCTCAAGTAATCCTCTTTGAGGCAAAGGAAGAATGTGTTAACAGTTTTGATTTTATGTGTTTTTAAACACTCAAAATAAATAAGAAAGTCTCCGAAAAGATGTAATATGACATTTTTTACCCTCCACAAGTGGAAAATCCTTTTTAGCTCCTTGTGAGTAGAATCCAAGAATAAGTAAGGTCTTGAGGGCCAATTCTTGTCTATTGGAGATAAGGAAGGCATCTTATTTTTCATTTCCAAGAAGTATTTTTGCACCTGTGTTGGGTTGACAGAAAATACTACATGAGGAAAATATACCACAAAAGACACTGTTTTACATACATCATGATCAAATAAACGAGACAATAGTAGAATTTATTTAACTTTGGAATTTATAGAACTGTAACTCATCTGGGAAGTCTCTACTCCACTCTTTCATACTGGTTGGGGAAATATGAGTTCTACCAAATGGTTAAGAGAAAAGAAGAATAGTAATGCTAACACTCATATTAACACTAATGCTAATACCAGCTAGCTCTATAGAGCTGTATTGTCTAAAATGCAGCCACTAGTCACACAGGCTATTTATATTTACATTTTAAGTAACTAAAATTAAATTAAATTTTAAAATCCAGTTCCTTAGTCACACTAAGTGGCAGTGGGGGCTGGCTCCAGAGTTTGCAGTCTGTTCAGCACTACATACACCTCTCTGAAAGATGGAGAACTCCAGAGTCCATGTGGGTGGAGCTGCACAGCCTGGCTCCCTGTCACCCCTCTCCCCACTAATTTGCTTGCCAGCCTTGCCCTGCCACAGCTCATGGCAGTTTCACAGGGTAAAGTCATGGCTTTCTTGGATCCACTTTCCCCCAAAAGTTCTCTCTTGTCAAATAAGGCAAACACTGTATTAATAATATACGGGCCATTAACAACTCTTTCTGACACAATTCTACCAGAATTTGGAAGAAGATGATTTTAAAAGATAACTAACTCTCAGTGTCACAGCTATGATTTAATTATTATTTAAAAAGTCACTTTTGTCATTTAGGAAAAGGCACATTTTATGGAGTTGGTGATATTAGGTGGGTAATTCCACAATGCTGATTATCCACAGATATAAAGTGTCAACTTACAATTCTCTGAAGCGTAAACTCATAGATTTTCTTTCCAGCATTGGCTCTGAAGAATTTCCTGTATTCTCTACGTACCTTTAAAAAGAAGATGTAGGTTACAGTGGTTAATGTGTGGCTGGTACAGGTCCATAATGATACACCTCTATTAAAAATGAAAAAATGTCAAACAAGTCAGTTTATAAGTGTCCTTTCTAGATTTAGTAAAATAATTGAAACACATTCATATAGTGGATCTTAAGTCAGAGAGAAAGAAATTAAGAAATGTAAAATGATGAAACCAGCATGAATTGATGTTTTAAATCCTCTTAGTAGTTTTTGAAGAATCTGATGATTTGACAAGAAACATTTTACAGGCACAGCTGCAAACTCATCCCCAATTAAAATACATTAAAAATTATATAAAATAATGTTCTCTTCAGATTGTTTTGTAAAAGGCAAAAAGAAAAAAAAAGTCTGAAGAACTGTATCAGTTTCCAAAAGCCTTGCATAGAAGATAAGGCCTACACACTGAGAACTGAATATGGCTAAGAATTTAAATAGAAGCTTTGAAACTACCATTATCTTCCATTTCATTGCATTAATTCTTCTCTATCATCTCTACTCCCACCAAACTTTATACTTAATGCTATCAGAGCACTTAAAACATCATATTATAGTTTTAGTTCACACATTTTTTCCTTGCTACATTGTTATATTTACTTCATATACTAATGTCTAACAAATAACAGTAACAAAGTGGAGTGTTTGTATAACAAATGAATAAATTATATAGTTAAATTTTGAAATTGAAGGAAAAATATCTTAAGTATTTATTACCATCCAGATACAAATGGGAGAGTTAGAATTTAGCAAAATATTAGCCTATCTGAATAATTCAGATATTACATATCTTTTTTCTTTTCTTTCTAGTTTTCTAGGTTTAACTGCACATGTTCAAAATATTTCTACATTACGGGATGTAAGCTAGTAATCTTCTATCCAAATTCAGTTTACAGATAAATGTTCTGTATGCATATTTTTAAGTTAAGAACTCAATATAACAATTCAGACTGCAGATTTCTCTTAAAGTTGTCTAAGATCTAGCAACACTGAGGCCTAGTCCTATAAAATAAGTGCCAGGGAGACCAAAGTAGCTGCTGTTGCCTTTAGATGAGGCATGCACGCTCCAAACTACACGAGTCCCTTTGCTTCTGATCCACCTCCCATCTGATGCTTTCCTCATCTGTACGACCAACCTGGTCCCTCTGAGCATTTTTGCACCAGACCCATTCTCTACCTCTAAAGACTGTTAAGGTTTAAAAACTGTAACATATACCTTATAGGCAGTTTTTCTTTTTACAGGCATACCTCATTTTAATGCACTTTGCAGACATTGAGTTTTTACAAATTGAAGGTTTGTGGCAACCCTGCATCAAACAAGCCTATTGGCACCATTTTTCCAACAGCATGTGCTCATTCTGTGTCTGTCACATTTTGATAATTCTCACAATATTTCAAACTTTTTCATTATTTTTCTATCTGTAAGATGGTGAACTTAATCAAGAGACAGTGTGTGTATTCTGACTGCTCCACCCATTGGCCATTCTCCCATCTCTCTCCCTCTCCTCGGGCCTCCCTTATTCCCTAAGACAGAGCAATATAGAAATTAATTAATATTGAATTAATAATCCTACAATGGCTTCTCAGTGTTCAACTGAAAGGAAGGGTCACACACTTCTTACTTTAAATTGAAAGCTAGAAATGATTAAGCTTAGTGAGGAAGGCATGTCAACAGCTGAGGCAGGCCAAAAGCTAGGACCCTTGTGCCAAACAGCCAAGTTATAAATGCAAAGGAAACATTCTTGAAGGAAATTAAAAGTGTTATTCCAGTGAACATACAAATGATAAGGAAGTGAAACAGCTTCATTGCTGATAAGGAGAAAATTTTAGTGGTCTAGATATAAGATCAAACCAGCCACAATATCCTCTAAGCAATGCCTAATCCAGAGCAATGTCCTAACTCTCTTCAGTTCCAAGAAGGCTGAGAGAGGTGAGGAAGCTGCAGAAGAAAAGTTTATTAACTTTTCATGAAGGTTAAGGAAAGAAGCAGCAAGTGCTGATAGAGAAGCTGCAGAAAGTTATCCAGAAGATCTAACTAGATCACTCATGAATGTGGCTACACTCGACAACAGATTTCCAATGTAGACAAAACAGCCTGCTATTGGAAGAAGATGCCATCTAGACTTTCATAGCTAGAGAGGAAAAGCTAATGTCTGGCTTCAAAGGACAGGTTGATTCTCTTGTTAAAGAATAATACAGCTGCTAACTTTAAGTTGGAGCTAATGCTCATTTACCATTATAAAAATCCTACAGCTTAGGAATTATGCTAAATCTACTCCGCCTGTGTGCTCCATAAATGGAACAACAAAGCCTGGATGACAGCACATCTGCTTACAGCATGGTTTACTGACTATCTTAAGCCCCATATTGAGACCTACTGCTCAGAAAAGAGAGAACTTTCAAAATATTCATGCACACTGACAAGGCACCTGGTCACCCAAGAGCTCTGATGGAGATATACGAGGAGATTAATGTTTTCATGCCTGCTAACACAACATCCATTCTGCAGCTCATGGATCAAGGAGTAATTCCCAGTCTTATGATTTAAGAAATACATTTTATAAGGCTATACCTGCCATAGACAGTGATTCCTCTGGTGGATCTGGGCAAAGTAAATTAAAAACTTTCCAGAAAAGAGTCATCAGTCTGGATGCCATTAAGAATATTCCAGATTCATGGGAGGAGGTCAAAACAGCCACATTAATAGAAGTTTGGAAGAAGTTGATTCCAACTCTCATGGATGACTTGGAGGGGGCTCACAACTTTAGTGGAGGAAGTAACTGCAGATGTGGCAGATATAGTAACAACTAGAATTAGAAGTGAAACCTGAAGATGGGACTGAATTGCTGCAATCTCAAGATAAGATGGAAATGAACAAGGAGTTGCTTCTTATGGATGACCAAATAAAGTAGTTTCCTGAGATGGAATCTACTCCTGATGAAGATGCTGTGAACACTGCTGAAATGACAACAAAGGATTTGGAATATTCCATAAGCTTAGTTGACAAAACCAGTGGCAAGGTTTGAGAGGATTCATTTCAATTTTGAAAGAAGTTCTACACTGGGTAAAATGCTATCAAATGCCAACATATGCTATACAGAAATCTTTCAGGAAAGGAAGTCAATCTATGTGGCAAATTTCATTGTTATCTTATTTTAAGAAATTGCCACAGCCACCACAACCTTCAGCAGCCACCACCCTCATCAGTCAGCAGCCATCGACATCAAGATAAGCCAAGACTCTCCACCAGCAAAAAGATTACAACTTGCTGAAGGCTCAGATGATGGTTAGCATTTTTTAGCAATGAAGTATTTGTAAAGTATGTACTTTGGCTTTTTAGACATAAGGCTATTAGATACTTAATAGACTACAGTAGAGACAGTGTAAACATAACTTTTATTTGCACTGGCAAACAAAACATTTGTGTGATTCACTTTATTGTGATATTCACTTTATTGCAGAGATCTGGAACTGAGCCTGCAATATCTCTGAGGTATGCCTGTATTCATATTCTAGTTACTGATTATCATCTGTCTTTTAGCCACAGAGCTGTCAGATCCACAAACATTTCTAATCTCAAACTAAGGTGAGAAGGGACAAGGAGAAGAAAAATGTTACCTAATAATTGGCTCCTGAAATTATAATAGTATAGGAAAGCAGACAAATGAAGTTACATAAGAATATATCATTAAAAATATACCTGAAGTCATACGATATTTAGTTGAGCCTCATAACTGAGCTCATTGCTATATGCATTTTGATATTCGACAGGGCAGGTTATTTCTCCCAAAATACCACTACAGACACTAAAAGCCTGGTGACAACATGCTGGCATATACGATGGTGCCCCCTGGGGAACTGGGAGTCTTAAAAAGGCCCACTGCACTTTGTAATTATTTCCACAGGAAAAGTCAATCATTTGAGAGGGCAAAATTATCATTCATATTAACATGATTCTCTTTTAGAAAAAAAAAGTACAAAATTATTATATTCTTGGACTTCAAGTAAGTTTGATCTTATTTCATACAATAATACTGGTTATATAGTAAAGTACCTCTGTTTTGTTGGAGACTGAGAGGAAAAAAGTTATGTCTAGAGTAAGCCCAGTTAACTTCTGCTAAAATAATATTCCCCTACAAACTGAATTTGCTTTGTAGGTTGCTAGTGTACACCCCTAATGCAAAAATGTTTTGAAATCATATGCAGTTAAACCCAGAAAACTAAAGATGTGAGTTAAATGGGAAAATGTTTACTTTTGTTTGACTTAAAAAAACCGGTTATAGAGCTTGTTTGGAGTTCTTCAAATAGAACATCTGTTAAAATTCATATTTAAGTTACTTCTTAATTACTTCAAATATTACTTGGTGAATATTCAGTATAATCAAAAAGGATAATTTACTAAAGTTTATAGGCTGAAATTGCAGAAAAAAAATGCAGATTGTTCAAAGCAGGATTCAGGGATATTTCTAATGGTTGTTCAGACTTAGAGTCAATGATTACTCAGATAATAATTCAAATATTTGGAGTAAGATTAAATGTCATAGGATTAAAGTAAAAACAATGATAAGGAATACTGTCAGAAAGGGGCCTAATTATCCCAAAAAGGCAATATGGATGGCTTCCTATGGTGACTAATTATTGAATTTGGAAGATCAGATCCTTACATGGTGTAAAGAATATTCTAAGGGCTTCTCAGAGCTCAGAGTTATTTACTTATGTGTAGTTCTGTACACATAAGTGTACCCTACTGTAGTAAGCACCACTTCAAAATAAACCCTGCCATAATCACAAGGTATTTGAATTCGAGGTTCTCTTTAACATGAATGATCCACTGATCTCTGAATCTCTGAACTCATTCATCAAAATCTGTAAGCTTAATGATGCAAGACCCTTTGGTTCCAACGCTGAACAATTAGAACAATGGTCGCTCTGAAGAAAGCTCTACTGCAGGCAGCCATTATTGGAGCAGAATTGGTACAAAAAGGGAAACAAAAGCCTGGCATCCCTAGGCTGGTCACTGTGGATGTAGGGCAGCTTTTAGCTCAACTATTGTAACTGTGTCTCACAGATTTTAAAAAAACAACTTTACACTCATAAAGATAACAAACTAGAACTTTGATAACATAGTATCTTGAATAAAACATGCCATATTGCTATTACATTAAACCTATTATTTAAAGAAATAGAAATCACAAAATCAGAAAAAAATTAGTGTATAGGTTTCTTCTGAAAAAGGTACAAAATTAAGCAAGATGACATTCTACAAGACTGTGCAGACCATCAGCAAGCATAATCAATCATTTTCTCAGGGTTAGTAGGTGCTAGGCTTTATGAAGTTCACCCTGGACAGAAACAAGTGGTTGAGGAAGTACCTTCAGTCCAAGCCAGTAAGCCCAAATGACAGCAACTGCATGCTTACGCCTAGCCTCCTCCTTCAAGCGTTTCAATTCCCTTCGAGCCTAGAATGTTTTAGATAGTAAATAAAAGAGACAGCCCAATGCAGACAGCACAAATGACCAGAAAAAGATATCCCACCAAACAGAAGAGCCAATTTATGAATAAGGATTTCAGAATGACAGAGGAACAGTGCATAACAATTTAAACCCAAAGAATTGGTGTCAGGCTGGTGCAGCGCTTATATTTTCAGTGCACTGAGATTCTGTTCCAGAGAAGGACAATCTGTGTGGTTCCCAAGGTAATCATTTCCCACCCCTCACTTCCATTCCTTTCCTTTTTTCTCCTGTTCTCTCTCTCTGTTCGCTGCCTTCTCCACACTCTTTCACTCCCATATCAAAGCCTTCAAACTCTGAGTAACAGCCCTAATGATGTCATTAGACTCCCCTTTGCTGACAGCACATTGGGCTGAAGAAGCTATGCACTCCTGAGTTCATCCCTTTGGATGGATAAAAAGACAACTCTTGTGAACAATCACTTAGAAAACTGGGAGGAAAAAAGTTTATTTCTCTGAAGTGCAAACAAAAACCAAAACTAACAAAACTCAAAAATTCCTTCCAGTCAAAAAATGAAAACTGGCACGTGTAAAAATTCAATTTTAGCTAAGGTCGCAAAAGTAAAATATACAGGAAGACTGAAGCAATTATAGGTTAAACTTATAGGTTTAAAAATTACTCTTAGGGAAAAAATAATCTTAGGCAAGCTATTCTAAAGGATACAAATAGGCACTGATTGTTCAAGATATTATAGTACTGAGACTGGGAAATGAACTCACTGGATGGAGAAATCTTAGCAAGACCCACCTAAGAGTCCTTTTGCTTCTGCTATGACATTTCCCTCAGTTGACTAGAGGAACAAGTTTGTTCTTCACAGATTTTCAGGAAAAGCACAGATGAACAACTCTGGTTAGTTTTTGGCAAATTAGCTCTTTATGCAGGCAGATGTTGACTTTTCTCATTTTCTCATAAGATAGGCTTACAACATTGACAAGGTGGACTTCAAAACACAGGACTCTGTTGATGTTTGTGTTTCTAACTGGAATACACATTTTTAGCAAAGATGACTTTGATTTTCTAAGTAACAAAAACATCTAAAAATCTTGTCCCTTGGGGTATGTGAAATGTTCACAGAGCCCACGACTATGCCTGGGGATTAGTGAGAGTATTTCAGGAGGCCTTTGTTTCTGAAAACAAACAGCTGATGCTGAAATTCCTGGGATTCTTCAGTGGCAATCATAGCTAGCTGTGCATGAACATAGTTTTCTGTTAAATCACAGATGATAATTCTTTGCACATGTAATATTTTGCTTATAATAATCAATAGCTGCCACACTGAGCCTAAAAAAAAATTTCATTCATAAATTAATATTTTTAAGACATATGTTAGAGGCATTTCCATTGTCAACATGTTGCAGAAGACCGACTGAAGCCCAAACTTGAACATTCCCAACATGCGCAACCCCTCCAGAAAACCTCTAAAAAACTGCTAGCATTCATCAATGGGGGCGGGGGGGAACCTAAACATGCATGTTATTTAAGAGTTGTTTTGTTTTGTTTTGTTTTAAAGAGCAATGATACTAGTGCCTTTTTAGTAAGCAATTAGTTTTATTGACCTATGCATGCCTAAGCTTCCTATGCATACTACTGAACTAATGTTTCCAGGTGTGTTAAATCTGGCGGCTAGGACATGCACCAGTGTGAGCCACTATTAATTGTAGTCATTCATCCCCTAATAGGCTAGAGGTAAGGACTGATTATTGCAGAATTCCAGGATGGAGTGTTGGGATATGTGCATCAAGTACCTTAGATCCAAGCCAGTAAGCCCAAATAACTGCAATAGCATGTTTATTCCTAGCCTCCTCCTTCAGCCGTCTCAGTTCCCTTCGTGCCTGTGATGCATTTGAAAAGGAGTTACAGAAAAGTTTAAGGCAGGAAAGGTTACTGCTGGTTTTCAATGAAGAAAGAAAAAGAGAGACACTAGTCACCACCAAATGGTAAACGCAAAAGCATGTGCCACCACCCCACAACAAAATGTTGGAAAGAGCAAGAAGCAAACACGTGCTCAGTAGCTCAAGCCAGTGAAACATTTTCTGCCCCTGAAGCCGAGGGTTCATGGTTCCACATGACGTTACTGCTGACCCACCGCCTTCCTTGGGGTCTCGGGCCTACCTGGGTCCCATGCCAATATGCAGCAATGGTCGTGACTGCTTCCTTACAGCGCTTTTGATGCTTCAGTTCCCGCAGAATTTTTCGAGCCTAAAGGGCAGAATCACCCAAAAGAGAGAATGTTTAAAAATAAAGGAATTGACAGTGACTTGAAAAAAAAACCTGAAGAGATGATCGTCCTAACACCCATGCTATTGTGATAAATCAACAGGTTAAAGAAGGCGAAGGTGACTAGCCCCAAACTGACTATGAGAAGGTGGACAATGAAGACATCATTAAGCATGGGTTTCCACTTGATTGGAACAGCAGCCTCCCGTACCCTGATACACAATGGGAAAAATCTGACTACAGCACCACAAGCTGGCACACATCTGTGGGATGAAACAGTTCTCAGAAAGGGGCCAGAGGATTCCAATGATCCTCTAAAGGCCACTGTATCTCTTTCATTATTATTGCCTGGAATGTAACTGTAGCTGTCCTTTTTATTCAAGATATTTTTAAAACTCCAAAACCAAAATGATCTCATTGATCCCAAACCAGTGACTTCTTTCCATTAGTTGCTGGAAACTGATTTTATGGGGGCCAGGAGGACACCTGGTTTCAAGGTGGACTTTGGGTCCTTCCTCTAAGGTCTCTCGCCTATAAACGGGGCCCCAAGGTCCAGCCATGAGGCCAAGGAAGAGCCTGCAGGCAGCAGTTTCACTTACTCTACATGTTCAGATTTGTGTTTTGCCATTTGCTGTGAGACAACTGCTAAGCCCTTAAGTTGTCGAGGGCCTGGGCAAGGTCAGTCAGTGTTGCTGGACTCGGGACCCAGCGTCTACCCTCTGAAAGGGCTCCAGGCCTGGGCACTACCCCTCTGGATCCAGACCATACCACAAAGTCTCCTCACAGGAAAGTGGTCAGAACAGGCTCTGAAGTATCGTTGACCTAGATCAGGGATCAGTAAACTTTTTCTGTAAAATGCCAGATGGTAACTGCTTTTGGCTCTGAAGGTCACACAGTCTATCGCTACTACTTGACTCTACCACTGTAGTGCTACAGCAGCCAGACAATCTGTGAAATAAATGAATGTGGCTGTGTTCCAATAAAACTTTATTTATGTACACTGAAATCTCTATTCCATATACTTTTCATATGTCATGAAATCATCTTCCTCCCTCTCCCTCTCCCTCTCCCTCTCCCTCTCCCTCTCCCTCTCCCCACGGTCTCCTTCCACGGTCTCCCTCTGATGCCGAGCCAAAGCTGGATGGTACTGCTGCCATCTCAGCTCACTGCAACCTCCCTGCCTGATTCTCCTGCCTCAGCCTGCCGAGTGCCTGCGATTGCAGGTGCGTGCCGCCACGCCTGACTGGTTTTCGTTTTTTTTTGGTGGAGACGGGGTTTTGCTGTGTTGGCCGGGCTGGTCTCCAGCTCCTAACCGCGAGTGATCCGCCAGCCTCGGCCTCCCGAGGTGCCGGGATTGCAGACGGAGTCTCGTTCACTCAGTGCTCAATGGTGCCCAGGCTGGAGTGCAGTGGCGTGATCTCAGCTCACTACAACCTACACCTCCCAGCCGCCTGCCTTGGCCTCCCAAAGAGCCGAGATTACAGCCTCTGCCCGGCCGCCACCCCGTCTGGGAAGTGAGGAGCGTCTCTGCCTGGCCGCCCATCGTCTGGGAGGTGAGGAGCCCCTCTGCCTGGCTGCCCAGTCTGGAAAGTGAGGAGCGTCTCTGCCCGGCCGCCATCCCATCTAGGAAGCGAGGAGCGCCTCTTCCCCGCCGCCATCCCATCTAGGAAGTGAGGAGCATCTCTGCCTGACCCGCCCATCATCTGAGTGGGGAGCGCCTCTGCCCCGCCGCCCTGTCTGGGATGTGAGGAGCGCCTCTGCTGGGCCGCAACCCTGTCTGGGAGGTGAGGAGCGTCTCTGCCCGGCCGCCCCGTCTGAGAAGTGAGGAAACCCTCTGCCTGGCAACCGCCCCGTCTGAGAAGTGAGGAGCCCCTCCGTCCGGCAGCCACCCCGTCTGGGAAGTGAGGAGCGTCTCCGTCCGGGAGGGAGGTGGGGGGGGGTCAGCCCCCCGCCCGGCCAGCCGCCCCGTCCGGGAGGTGAGGGGCTCCTCTGCCCAGCCGCCCCTACTGGGAAGTGAGGAGCCCCCCTGCCCGGCCAGCCGCCCAGCCCAGGAGGGAGGTGGGGGGTCAGCCCCCCGCCCGGCCAGCCGCCCCGTCCGGGAGGGGGGAGGGGGGGTCAGCCCCCTGCCCGGCCAGCCGCCCCATCCGGGAGGATGGTGGGGGGATCAGCCCCCCGCCTGGCCAGCCGCCCCGTCCGGAGGTGAGGGGCGCCTCTGCCCGGCCGCCCCTACTGGGAAGTGAGGAGCCCCTCTGCCCGGCCATCCGCCCCGTCCGTGAGGGAGATGGGGGGGTTAGCCGTCTCCAGCCGGCCGCCCCGTCCGGGAGGTGAGGGGCGCCTCTGCCCGGCCGCCCCTACTGGGAAGTGAGGACCCCTCTGCCCGGCCAGCCGCCCCGTCCGGGAGGGAGGTGGGGGGGTCGGCCCGCCCGGCCAGCCGCCCTGTCCGGGAGGTGAGGGGCGCCTCTGCCCGGCCGCCCCTACTGGGAAGTGAGGAGCCCCTCTGCCTGGCCAGCCGCCCCGTCTGGGAGGGTGGTGGGGTGGTCAGCCCCCCGCCCGGCCAGACGCCCCATCCGGGAGGTGAGGGGCGCTTCTGCCCGGCCGCCCCTACTGGGAAGTGAGGAGCCCCTCTGCCCGGCCACGACCCCGTCTGGGAGGTGTGCCCAGCGGCTCATTGGGGATGGGCCATGATGACAATGGCGGTTTTGTGGAATAGAAAGGCGGGAAGGGTGGGGAAAAAATTGAGAAATCGGATGGTTGCCGGGTCTGTGTGGATAGAAGTAGACATGGGAGACTTTTCATTTTGTTCTGTACTAAGAAAAATTCTTCTGCCTTGGGATCCTGTTGATCTGTGACCTTATCCCTAACCCTGTGCTCTCTGAAACGTGTGCTGTGTCCACTCAGGGTTAAATGGATTAAGGGCGGTGCAAGATGTGCTTTGTTAAACAGATGCTTGAAGTCAGCATGCTCGTTAAGAGTCATCACCACTCCCTAATCTTAAGTACCCAGGGACACAAACACTGCGGAAGGCCGCAGGGTCCTCTGCCTAGGAAAACCAGAGACCTTTGTTCACTTGTTTATCTGCTGACCTTCCCTCCACTATTGTCCTATGACCCTGCCAAATCCCCCTCTGCGAGAAACACCCAAGAATGGTCAATTAAAAAAAAATAAATAAAATAAAATAAAAAATAAAAAAAATACATCCCACCTACAAAAAAAAAAAAAAAAAAAAAAAAAAAAAGAAATCATCTTCTTTTGCTTTTTTAAAAACAACGGTTAAAAATATAAAAACCATTCTTAGCTTGCAGGTTGTATGAGAACACGCAAGCAGGCTAGCTGTAGCCTGTGGCCTGTAGTTCAGTGACCCTTGAACCAAGCCTTGGCAGCAAGGACCTAGAACCAGGCTGTCCACTGTGACGGCTCCTCCATGTCCCCACCACTAGACCTGGCCAGATCTCAGGATCTTTCAATCGTGATGGGTAGCCTGCAAGATGGTTACTGGACAGTTACGGAAGTCACTGGGGTAGGGATTCTGAGTATGAAAGCAATGGCTGTGAGATAGCCTTCTGTACCACAGCTTTTCTCGAAAACACGGGGCAAAGGGATACTGAAATCATGTACGGGTATTATTTCAAGGACTTCCTGCTTAGAGAACAAAGCGCTTAAAAAGAAAGCTGGTTAGAAGGAAGTGGCCAAGACATGGTCACCAGGGTCCCCGTTTGGCCCATAATATTTATTCTTTCCATCTGACTGTTTACAGGCGAGGCAGGAGACAGAGGAGCCCCTCCTCTGCAGGGTGACCCTAAAGACATTATCCTTTGTGAAAAACCAGAAAACCCAAAATAAATAAAGCATACTTCTTTTAAACTCACCTTCCAACCCCGGATATAAGACTGAATTACTAAGGCGGAACTCTTTGTCTGCTGGTACCTCTTTTGTTGCTGTAGGATAAAAGGGGAAGATATTGGCAGTTGTAGTTAATATCTGTAACGCATACAAGGATTGAGAAAGGGTATTTGCTCACTTCGTCTAACTGACTCAATTATCCATACTCCTTCTGGAAACCAATACATAAAGAAACCAAAATATCAAACAATCCAATATTATTACAGTTAATCCAAAGTATGCTTTAAGGATGCTAAATAAAATAATTCCTAAATGACTCAGGACACAGCATTATTATCATTATTTTCTTCATCTCATGCTGTTATAATACAGGGTTCCACACAAGGCAGATACTCAGTAAATGCATATTGAATGAAAACCCACTGAGTTCTGCATCTGCTTTTGAGTGTTCTCTCTTCTTGGTGTCATTTCTCACCATGCTACTTACTGGACCCACCTCTAAACCTCCCTAGTTTCTTTTAGGTTTGCTACTTTTACTCTGCCTCAAGCTGGAAAATCAGCTAAAAATTTAAGTAAACTGCTATCAATCAATTAAATATTTATATATTGAGCCTCTACTATGCATAAAGCCTTTTAATAGGACCATGAGGATATAAATGTGCATCTGACTGCATCCCTGCCCTCAAGGAGTTGAAGTGAACACAGGTCAACAGTATAAAGGATAAACAGTACCCTGGGAGAGATGCAGCACAGAAAGCACAACAGTCAGGCTCAGAGGCAGCAGAGGTTACTTCCAGGTGGGGAAGGTCAAAGAAGACCTAGTGAGGCTCCCAGCTCTGGCTCAACAAGCTCAATGCCCAGAGGCCTTTCTTACTTCTAGGGCTGACGCCCTGGAGTGGAGGCTGCTGGAATACTCCCTAGAAAAGTGAGCTTTTACAGTATTCACTTTGGAATATACACTGAAACATGGGGGCATCCCTAATGAAAATTCACAGCATTTCGAAGTACTAAAGTCACATTGTGAATCCCTCATGTTAGAAGTGCCAGCTGGCTCAGCCCCCCTTCTCTGAGGCGGGAGAGATGCCTTCCCAGGCTACCAGGCTATGTCTTGGAAGATCAGAGGTAATGGGTGATGGTATCAATAGATGGGCAGAGGAACAAAAAAGGATGCCAGGGAGAAAATCCAAGAGGACCCTGGGACCTCAGACAAGCCACTCACCTTCTCTGGGCCTCAGTTTCCCCAGCTGTTAAATGAAGAGGTGGAAAATCTCTAGGATTCTCCCCAGAGTAATATTCCACAGATGTAGCTGTAGAACAGCTACAGTATCTGACCATCATTCTGACACGCATTTGGTACCTCTGTGTTTTCCTTTTTAATTAATAAATGTCTTGAAAATAAGTATATCTCACTTGAAAATTCATCTCTAGGAAACATGAAATATTACAAAATACGGAATAACTTAAAAGTAATCAGCAACTAAAAAGGAGCATTCAAGAAATCTTTTGAGTTATCTGGTTGAGGGAAAATAATGAGTTTAACCACTGGCTTGAGTAACATGTAGTGAACTGGTTGAGGTATGTAGTTCAAATTTTGAAAGAGATGTAACATTAGAACAAAGTTAATGCATTCTCTAAAACTGGGGCTATTATTAGTTTTCATTCTACCAACTAATATTGCTCATAACTCCTGACATCATGAACTAATGATAAATCGTGACTTTTTAAAATCTGATGATATAAAAGCTTTATATTGGGAGAAAAGGTACAAATAGTACTTGAGCTTCCTTTGCATTGCCTGTTCTTTCTCATCCTTCCGATCAAATGGCCCCTCCCCGAAGTTTCTCCTTGACCACTCTAGCTTAGGTCACATCCCGCCTCCCCATTATTCTTTATGGCAGTTCTCTATTTCCTTCCTAGCACTTACAACAGTCTATAATTTTTCTGATTATTTGTTTGCTTAAATGCGTATTGTCTTTCACTAGATATAAACTTTAGGAAGTCAGGAATTAGGTTGTTTTGTCCACCTTGCTAATGTGTTTCAAAAATATTTGTAGAATTCAAGACAGATGAATCCAGCACACTTGTAAACTTTTCTTAATGACCTCAAAATAAGAAATTATAAAAAGGGCTCCTTGAGGACTTTTTGGTCCTCTTGTTGGTCCTCCCTTTCTCAGGCTAACAGAAAACGGAGCATTATGAATCTGCAGCAGAGTTAAGGAGTGGTACTATGTGTACAGAGGAGACTCCACGGCCACCAGGCTGGGTGACAACAGTCCAAAGTGCCTCTGCAGAATGCATATGAATGACTCTATCATTCACATGGCTGGGCAGACTCATATTTTAAGACTTATACTGCTGGTTATAATCTTAACTAGCATGAGCCATTGTAAAGATACTCTCAAGCTGATTTTCTTTAGCTTAATCAATTAAATACCTCATTAATTTGTAAAACTTGGAAATAATAAACTAAAATGTATTATGTGAGAATAGGTCAGCGTAAATTATGTCTTGATTATATACAGCCCTATAGCAAAGTCTCTTTATGGCTGAAAAAGAGGAAGAATATAAGAAAGGAGATGTGAGTGCAAACTTAATTCATTTTGTGAGAACACAGCCCAAGTTTCAATTAACCCTGAGGCAAACCTTCAGGCTTCTCTCATACCTGTGGTATGCCTTCAACAAAATCTCTACAATCAAATGAGGAAGGAAATGCCAAAAAGAAATTTCATATTAACTAGGTAAACATTATTTATTATTGAATCTTTCCCTATAGTTAATAGAGCCAGATACCTAAGGACTAAAGAGAATGCAATCCTTTAACCAAAACCAGAAATCTACAAAAACATGGCATTAGCTTTCTGGAATTAAAGCCACTTTCAAAGCTGCTACAATAAAGAATAGCCAAAGAATAGCCAATTACTTTGAAAAACTAGCCCAACCAAATCAAAAGCTTAAAGGATATTGTCTCTTCCAATCTGATGACCAAATTAAAAATGTATTTCCAACCAAATACAGCTAGATCAGTGAAAGGCGGTATGGCACACTGAACTTGAGCTCTAATACTGTCTTGGATTCAAATCCCAGCTCTACCACTTATAGCTATGTGGCTGTGGGCAAATTACTTAACAGCTTTGTGTCTTAGTTTTCTCATCTTTAAAAAAAAGAACCATTAAGAACATCCATTATCTCATGAGGTTGTTGGGAGAATTAAGTATGTAAAAATCACATACATGGTAAGTACATAATAAATGTTGGCAAATTAGCATTGTTATTACTGATTTAAAATGACTGAGACTCTTACCGCATATCTCCTGTACCAGGCGGCAATCACAATTTGGCTTTTTTTCATTAGCAGGAAGTGTGTGCGGCATTTCCACCCCCGATATATCTTCTGAATGAGAGTGGCCAAGTCCTCCAGGCGTTGCTTCCTCAGGTCTTCTAATTTGAATAACTAATAAGAAATGATAGATGGACTTATCAAAAATCCTCTGAAACCTCACAGCATACAGGAAAGGAATTTTCAGGAGACAAAATGCCATCATGTTGGAGTCAATTACATTGAAAAAAAGAACTGAAAAACCATATGCATTATATATGATATGGATAATGGTCCATGAGAAAATTATTTTGATGGATTCATGAAAGACTTACAATTTTTATTCCAGTGATTCAGAATTTATGACAAATCAGAGAGGGGCTGAATTGACCTTAAGTTTACCTTCACACTGTCTATGAGGATGCAAATTACTAATGGAAGGTAGATGCTGGAAAATTCTCTTAAATGAATTAAATACTTTCCAAAATCTTAACGTTTCCAAATTACCAGTCACCTGCTATACTCATTACACTTCACACTCATCTATTCATTGACAAAAAAATTTCCTTGGGGTTCTATGAGGTAGAATGCTAAAAGTATTTTTTTTAACTTAAAAAAAATTTTCATTTTAGTGCTTTCCTGTACCTCTAAATAATGGGGCTGTAGTTCTTAAAATTAATGTATAATTCAGGTATTACAAATACAGACTGTTTACCTGCAGTTGCTATGAATGTTGCACCGTTGTCCTAACAGTTTCTTTGTGATTTCTTAAGTGTTGTACAATCTGTCAGAGCAAAGACTTTGATGGTTCATAAAAAATACGCATTCTTCTACCGCCCCTTACCCTTATCTGTCCCTGCCTCTTGATTATTTGTAGATAAACACACAAGTGTTTTGTGGCATTCATGGTGGCCCCTCATATAATGTTATAAAGTTAAACATATTTTAAGAACTTTCCTATACGATTCCAACTTAAGTTCAGAGTGTAAAGGTTTTCGTTACATACTGTTCTTGGGTTTCGGATGAATATCTTTGATCTACCAAAGGAGTATTCTTCCACGGGAATTTCTAATTCATTAAATAGGACCTCCACACCAGACCTAAAAAAATAAAAATAAAAACAGTGAGTTTTCTGAGTTACAAAAATAGTTTTATCTTCTATCATGGTATCAGGTTCTCAGTGGTATAAAACATAGCTTCATTTCCAAGTGTAATTGCTCTTTCAGCAATCATCCATTTATCAAAGAATTTTCCACAAATTAAACTTAATCCAGTAAACACTGAAAAAGTAAATTTGGGTTCATAACTATGTATTCTAAGAAAATGTGGTATTAAAGCCAATTTCTTGATTTCATTAGTAGAGGCAATACTTGTATCAAAAATACCTATAATGATGTACCAACCTGGGCCAGGAGGGTGTGCAAGAAATTCAGATCTATTTTAAACTCACTCAGTTAATTCCTGAAAATATTTTAAACATTGTTTCTGCCCCTGAGAATAAAAGCAGAGACCAAGAAACAGTCCCAGACCAACGGGACGCTAAGGAACGTGGGCCTTACCCAGCGGGAGCAAGAACTGGACTTGGCCCTGACCTCTCCATCCTGGACCCCGGTTTCAACATCAGTCTTTAGAACTAAACCTCACTCCACCCACCTGCAGACTAGATGCCAGGCAGGGAGTGAATACACATTCTGTATTATGGTACCTGTTTACCATAATACCCCGGAAATTAGCAATGGGAACTGAAACAGTACCCAAATCCTACATTAAATTAGGGTACTAAATTAGGCATCAGAGACCGCACCATACATCTGGAGTTTCTAGATCTTCTTATAATACAAGGTAAGTGTCCTAGGTGTGTTGATGTTCCTGTGAAAGGCCAGGTGCAGTGAGAATAATGTGTAGGCAATACCAGTACAGTTAAATGAAAATCGCCCATTTCCTGCCTAGGCCCATGAAACAGGCATGTCAGCCCTCCAGCAGTATTCAGGGGCAAGCCTTCTTCAGCCTGCAGAGGAGCAGCCTCTCTGGTGAGGGCAGAAGGAATAAGGCTTGATTTCTCTCCTGCAACAGCCGCCCGTCAGTACACAGTTCTCTCTGCCTGTGGAGAGCTCACAGGACATGGGGATGCACCACTGGGCCTGCGGTGTCCAGCACTCTGTCTGGGACTGGATGAGTAAATGCAATTCAGGACAGACCAGCTGAAAGCTGTATGGCCCTGGGTCCAAGCTACGTTCTCTAATCCAGCTCTCCTAGCAGTAATGCTGACACTGTGAATCCTACCTGCTCGTATCGTCTATTGATTAACTGGTATAGATATAGGCAAAGAGAGGGACCTTCACCCATCCACTGATTCTCTCTGCAGCCAAATTCTTCATGGGAAAAGTGACAAGTGGTAATCCAACCTGTCTCTAATTCTACCCTTCTATGATTCTACACAAATATAAGTGTATCAAATTACAAACCACCTCCTACGAACCTACCTTGGGCATATTCTAAAAATTAATATTATTGCCATACAAGTCCCAAATGTGGATTTGGTAAGTCTTATTTTGACCTTAGCACAAAATGGTATCCTAATGGAAGAAGGTCCAAAACAGAGGTTACATCCAGTTTTTCATAAAATTCTGTTTTATCTAACAGCATGTGAAAAAACACCGTATTATTTGACCACTTAAAACATTCATTATTAAATATGGTCACTGAATTTCTTACCTGGCTGGTCCTTTCCAATGAGGCCATGTTTGTTTACAAAGCATTTTGTATCTTTCTAGGCAAGGTTCATAGGCCTGCCTGAAGGCGTAGCCTGCCCTCCGCACTCGGACGTTCTCCAAAAGCCCCAGGTACCTGATCTGATGACACACTAGAGCCTCGTTGAAGATGTGTGCTGCTTTTTTATCATTCGGTTTGATACACCTTAAAGATCACAAAGATTTTAGGTTATAAACTGCCTCCTATGGATATAATTGTCTATGTTTTCACAAAGTATTATATATAACTGTTTCATAGCAAAACAATTATGTTATTCTTAAGAAACCTAGTCATTACTTTTGAAATTATTTCAAATCATTTTATAACCACCTAAAAATAAATACAATACTGCAGGCACAGTAATTTTAAAAAGAACACACTAATAAATGCAATAATGTGGATAAGTATCACTGACATTTCATTGAGTGAAAAGAAGCCCAACACAAGAGTACATGCTGTAGTTATGATTCCATTTATATCAAGTTCAAGCAAAACTAACCCATGGTTAAAAATCAGTATTGCTGTTACCTCTGGGGAGAGGTAGTAGTGGGGGATCAACATGCAAGGGACACAAGGGAATCTTCTGGACTGACGGGAATGTTTTACCACTTGGTCTGGATGGGGTAACACAAGTACATACATCTGTAAAACTTCAAGAAGCTGTACAGTTAAGATCCATGCACTTTAATGTATGTGTATTATACCTCAATAAAAAGATAAAAAACACTGTTTCCTCCCTATATCTGTTCTCCTTTCTTAACAGGGCACTTTGCTGCCCAGGGAAAAACTTTATTTCCCAACCTCCTTTGCAAGTAGATGTGGCCAGGTGAGCAACTTCTGGCCACTAGGATCAGAGGGGAAGTAATGTCTGCAGCCTCTAGTCAGTGTTCTTAGAAGAAGGGACAGGCACTCCCCTTCGTCTCCTCCAGCTTACTGCTGGCTGCAAATGTTGACACGGTGGACAGCCATCTTCCTCCATGCAGACGAGGAACACGCCCAGGAAACGGCAGAGCCACAAAACAGAAGGAGCTGCCCTGTCAGCTCTGGAGTCCTCATACTTAGAAGTTACTTAAGAAATAAACATCAATCTTGCTTAAATCATTGCTAGCTTTGGATCATACTGCAGCAATCCCTGTGTCCTAACTAATACTTAAACATTCATGATTATGGCTGCCTAACTACAACTGTGAAATTACACACTTACGTGGACAACTACATCTTAGCTAGTTTGGCATCAGTGTTACTATGCTTTCTCTTTTACCATTTATAAAAATAATGTCTACTCTTTGGCTTAAATAAAGATGGACAAATAGATAAATGGAATGGCCTAGTAAGTTCAGATCCCTACATATACATTCAACAGATTATCAATAAAGGCCACAAAGCAAATCAATGGGAAAAGAAGACTGTTTTCAATATGGTATTAGTGCAACAGGATATCTACATGGGGGGGAAACAGACCTAAATATGAAATCTGAAACTATAAAGCTTCTAGAAGAAAATATACGATAATATATTCACAACCTTGGGGTTTATTAATTAAGATTTCTTAGAAAAGCTGTAAAAATAAAAAAAGGAGGGGAATGAAGAAGCTTTCTGGGGTAATGGAAATGTTTTACGTCTTAACCTGGGTGGTGGTTACTAAAGCATATATAATGGTTAAAAAAAAATTGAACTGTTCACTTCAGATCTGTGCATATCACTTCACATAAATGATACCTCAATAAAATAGAGTTAAGATGCAAAAAAAAAATTCATTCAATTGAGAATAACAAAAGCAACTCATCACAGAAAGTTTCTTGGGTTTTTTTTTAAACTAGGATCCTCTCCAACATATGTTCTAATCTGACTGCAATCAAACCAGAGGGTTTTGTCTACTTACATTTCTGTAAATATAAATATCAGGCACACAAACTAAACACAAAAATATTCTTCACTCTAGTTTCCTCATAACTGCATTTTCAAAGACAACTATAGAAGGTACTTGTGGGTATGGGTGTGCTCTATGAAATCTGACCCACCAGACACATACCTTCTACTATCTAGCTCACCAAATACACACATAGCAAACTCTAATCCTAGTTGGTCTTTACTAAATCTAGAGAGAGTTCTGTCTAAGATGCCCTAGAAGCAGAAAAAGAGAAGAGCCCAGAAGGCTTTTTCCTTTTTTTTTTTTTTTTGAGATGGAGTCTTGTATTGTCACCCGGGCTGGAGTGCAGTGGCGTGACCTCGGCTCACTGCAACCTCTGCCTCCAAGCGATTCTCCTGCCTCAGCCTCCCAAGTAGTTGGGATTATAGGTTCCTGCCACCACGCCCAGCTAATTTTTATATTTTTAGTAGAGACAGGGTTTTGCCATGTTGGCCAGGCTAGTCTCGAATTCCTGACCTGAGGTGATCCACCTGCCTCCGCCTCCCTAAGTGTTGGGATTATAGGTGTGAGCCACCACGCCCAGCCCTTTTTAAGAAGGTCTTTCTACTGCCTTGAAAAAAATTCAGATTGCTTTAGGAATCATTACTTTCTCCAGGCCTACACCTCTCACAGGGAAGAAAAAAGTGCATGTCTCCTAAGAAGTGCCAGAGCAGTTAACTAAAGCACTTGCTTCAATGCTGTGCTCTAAGCTAATAGAACAAGAATCCCAAATGAAGCCAACAAGAGTTTTCTGCAAAACACTGACCAGAAAAAACACTTGCATTTTGTTTTTTAACTTGCCATTAAAAAAATAATAATAAACATACAGAAAGTTGAAAACCCCTAGGTCTCAACCACTGAGTTTCATTAAATATCTACTATCTTCTCCACCACACTTTACTTTTTTACTTTCTTATTTTAGGGGAAAGGATAGTGGAGCATTTTTTAAGCCAATCCCAGATAAGGTATTATTTAATCTGTAAGTATTTTAGTTACCCTCTGCTTGGGCTACACTCAGATTGAAGCAAAGGGAAAAATGATATTCCTTCGGGGTGCTCTCACATTTGAACTGTGAAAGTTTCATGTGCCAAAAATACCTAATATAGTTTGGGTTCTTGGTCTGTAGGTTTTTCATCAGAGTGGCCACGGATGCCTTGAACTGTGAGCCTGCTGTAGGAGGCCTTTTCAGGTTGATCTTGGCGGGATTCCCTTCGGGGAACAAAGACTTGATGAGGGCATGGCTGGCCTTCCACATGGCTTGGGACAGGTCTCGATAGAGAAGGTCATTGTTTTTGTCAACGAATCCTTCCACCTGGTACAGCACCTATAAGCAGCACATGTAACTCAATGACAGGCACATTGCATGCTATAATGTCAAACAACTATTAAAAATACTCCAAGACTATCTACATTGCAGCCACTTCCTTCACCATCAAAAAATCCCTGACATGTTAGTCACACTCTCATAATGAGTTCGCCTCCAAGTTTAAATTCCATCTGTCTAAATCACAGACAAGATCAAAATAAATTCTATTACCATTCAGGATTTGCAAGAATAAACTCCAAAAATGTTATCATAACATTTTCAAAGGATTTTGCATTTTTTAGGAGTCTGAACATATTCTGGGGTTTTACTTTTATTTTTTAGTTCTCACATACCAATTCTAGTCTGTTTAAAAGTAGATGGGGCAAAATAGAAACAATACTAACACTTTCATAAATATCCTGAGCAGCAGAAAAGCTGATCAGAAATTATCTTTTAATAATATACGCTAATAAAAAAAATAAAGTACCAAGTTCTAACATTTTGAAATTAAAGGTAATTCAGGTACTATATACTTTTTACAAATGTATAATCAAGAAGTTTTTTTCCCTTTGAAGTTTGCAATTTTATGAAAAAGGAAGTATTAGCTCTAATCAATATTCTTTCAGGATTCTAAAGATTAATCAATTAAGATTGTTTTTAGCATTGTCTTTATATATTAGACATAAAATTAATTCCCCCAAATATTAACCAAATAAATAAGTGTTTTAAAAAAGTAAATATTTTCCCTAATGTCATTTCAAAATCTCAAATAATTCATTATTTTTGCTAAATGGCTTGTGTTTTTAAAGCCTTAAGTCTTTATTGACTCTTAATTTGTACTGGCAAATCTCCTTCAATAGTGTTAATAGATATTTTTTATAGGATAGCTTAGAGTTTGAAAATAATAAAGATGATTCAAAAATATATTTAGACTCTTCATTAAGTCCATTAGCTTTGCTTTTGATTTTCTGTATTAATAAGATTTTAGTCAACATGGTCCAGATTCTATTTCTATTGAACATTTATCGATTCAACCACTTTAGCAGCTCAATTTGTCCTCACAAGTTAATGGGGTTTCGAACGCCCATCTCTGAGGTACAGCCTCCTTGCAGGGGTAACTTGGCAGGCCTGACTGGGTGCTCACAGCTCCCCCATACCTTTCCAGCATAATGCTGGATCCTGAAGCAGCTGTGAGGCAGAGACGTGTCATTGAGGAACCGAGAGCACTTGCTCATCCTGCTCTCAAAATGCTGGTGGGTGGCACATACTTGGTTCAGCTTTTCTAAGAAGGTCTCATCAGTGACTGTGCCAGGTCTGAGGCACTCTTCATCCAGCATGGCCAGGATTCCATTTGTGTTCTGGGAAAACGGAAATAAAAAAGTTTCCTTCCTTCCTCACTATATTGTTTTAATAATTATTCCTAATTACACCATCAAACACAATCAACTTAGTCACAAGAAAAGTCTGTTCAGTTATAACAAAAAGCAGAGACTCAAAACAATAACAAAAGCCACAGGAATCAGCTCTTTCCTGAAGGATCCCAGGTGTGTGTATGGTGGTGTGGTTGGGAAGAGTGTGTCTTCTTGGTTCCTCTCTCCTCGCACAGAACAACAGTACCTGGGAGTTGCCTCAGACACCTTAGCCTGATGATGACTGAAATTTATACTCTTACAAAAAGACAAGTTGGACCTCAAAGATTCAAAAAGAAATCTAAAAGCAGAAATGAATGTGACAATACAGCCTCTATAACATGTCTCAAATCACAAAGCAGTCTTCTAAGGCCATTATTTGATTCACTCCTAAGAAGGAAACTCGTTTTCTATGTTTCCAAATTGTTCATGTGTTCAAAATAAAGTTTATTTCCTAGAAAAAAATGCTGTGATTTGAGATGCTGCTTTTAACAATCACTGCAATCAAACTGATTTCAAGAATATCTGTTTCATATAGATTTAGATTTTAGAAATTCATGTGGAATTTCTAAATGGATGTTAAACATAAGTGAAAATTTATTTGTTGCATATCTAGACCCTGTGGTCATTTTTATTCCAAGAGTAGTCAGCCCTAAACTGAATCAGAAGTCAGGAAGCTTCTACTTTGCTAAATAAAGACTGCTACTCCATGGACTGCCCCTATGGGGTCATAAGTCTTAATTCCAAAAACAATCCACTCCACTGACCATCAACCCCACCTACTTCCACCCAGGCAAAGTCCTCTGTTCCTCTCCCCTTCTGCTAACAAGGCCACGACATCCTCTGACCAGCATTTATTCATTCCACACAAAACCCTGGGGAAGCGTGGACTCTCAGGAATCAAGTGTGTTCATAACATCCCCAGAACAAACATTATTGTTTAATGATGCTGGAAGGAAACATTTCCTTTATATACCCAGGTTCCTATGTGAACATGAGCTTCTTCAATCATATAGCAAGGGGATTTTTGGCTGAGATAATCTAGTTAAATTAAGTGTATTACCACTGTTCTTTTTCTCCTCTTCTTAAAAGAGAATAATTAAATGCAAGGTTATATTTATCAAAGAAAACATACTAATCAGAAATTCTGAAAATTAAGATTCCCATAGCAAATTACCTCCTTCACAAAATGTACCAGGAAAATTTTCAGGAAATTCACTTTTCAGAGCCAAAATCAGAGATCTGAATTGCTTATGTGGAATATTAGTGTTCCCATTCAATATTGTTCAGATTTTTTGAAACACAGTTTATTTCTTATTGAAAAATAGTGATGCCTTAGAATATTGTTTAATTTAATCAGAGAAACAACTTTTAGGAATATCTTGAATACTGAGGAAAAAAAATACTGGCTAATTACATATTTCCCAAAAAGCTTTGTAAAAGATGAGTAGAAAATGATTTAATATTCATTCAGAGCATGTGACTGTATTCCTGAAACACAGCACTCATCTCACTAAACTGGTCTTGCTAAAAAGACTGCAGGATAATAAGGCTTATACACTGTTTCAAATTACTTATTCAAAGTCAGGTATTAGTAATCCTAAGCATAAATTAGTTTCCTGTTTTCCACACACAAAATCAGTCTTCCTACATTTAATTCATTTACAATAAACTACGGAATATGATCTAAAAACAAAAATCTTGGACTCAGAAAGCTTACTCGAAATTATCCAATAATTTTTCACACTTTAAGCCTTTTTGCATATGCACATACTTGGGTCATCCGAAAAATTCCAGGTCCCTGGCCACCTGCAGTCACACATGCAATGCCCTCTGCATGTATGATCTGAATCAATGCTACAGCTGCACTTAAGCCACTTCTGGGGTCCCACTTAATTCAGCTCCAGAGGTTGTCCCTTTATGTCACTTAAACTTAATATAATACCCGGTGAATAGTATGTTAAGAGGTCATTAGAGTTTTGGGAATGAAATGGATATTTTGATTTGGCAAAAAACTGGATGGCTGCTCAGAGCCTACTCTGATCAGTACTCACATGCCCAGGAGTCATGGAATAGACCTGGGCTCCAACCATACAAGAAAGGCTGGTACCTTTAAGGCCTGGTGTCTGAAGGTCATAAAAGGGTGTTGTGATATGGCCACTGGGGATCCTGGCTAAGTATCAAAACATCCAGCTGTCTATGTATGTGTTCAAGAACTGTGTATGATCTCTTAGGGCTACAATAAAATCTCTAGAACTCTGCAGTTCCTTAACATATATATATATGTGTGTGTGTGTGTGTGTGTGTGTGTGTGTGTACGTGTATATATATATATATACACATATATATGTGTGTGTGTATATATATATATATATATATATATAAAAAACAGTGAAAATACTAATGCTTAACATTGAGGCACTGAGAACATTTATAAGGGTGAATTATAGGACTAAAACATTCTTTAGAAAACTGTACCTAAGTACTCACATTTTCTATTAGGTCACAAATGATAGCATTATTGAAGTAGTCAATGTGAGTCCATTCTATATCCTAAAAGACAAAACAGAACAAAATCCAATGACACAAGATGAAGCCACGACACTACCATCCATAAAACAGACTTTGACCATCTTATCATATTTCCCTTCCTCTCTGAATTTATTTTCTTTATAGAATGGGTACTGCAAATGTCACAGGCAGTTCCCAAAACTTTCTCAATGCAGCTGCCTACCACTGACATAATCTGATTGAAGCAAACACCCTTGACCTGTTCTGAGACTGCCTTCCATTCCACTCTCCCATCTGCAGCAATTTCCCATGCACTTCACTGGCCCTGGGCCAAATATTTACTCAACAGGCCCTTGGGTCAATATTACGTTGTGTATGTTTACAATGTTTATAAGGAAATAAGTTAGAACTTGATCCCAAGAATTTAAAGCCTAGATTCTTCTGTTCTGAATCTGTAATCATAAGGAAAAAAATTAATTTTAGAGTCAATCTTGTGTTGTAGGGAAGTTAACTCTTTCAAGTGTTAAAAAAAACAGGCCAGCGCTACCACAAAGTATTTTCAACATAAGGAAAGACATGAAAATCTATCCACTGGTTCTAACACTGGCTACAAAGCCAAATCCATAAAGCCAAATGTAATCTTTCTGTGTCTACTTAACATTCTGTCCATAAATGTAAACATTTATTTGTCTTCTATTCATTACAGCAAGCTAGCAATCTTCCTATATATTCTTAGAAGTGTTTTAAACAATCTGTATAAACTGTTTTAAGTTACCCATCAAAGTTTGGGCATTCTCTTCATGATGAGAAGACAGGAAAAGAATGAATCGTGCTTTTAGAATATTTATGTTACTAAAAGGTGCCAGACAAGTATAAAACATTTCTGAAGCATAATGAGTACTCTAAAATAAAGATGAAATATTTATGATTTAGCTTTTGAGTAAATGGGTTGTTTTACTAAGCCACTGGGGATAACAATCACATTAGAAAAATCTATATGGAAAGAAAGATAAAAGAGAATTCAGTGTCCTTAATGGCTTAAAATGATACTAAGAAAATAAAGGAAAACAGGTAATATCATTACTAAAATATTAAGGCAAATAAACAAAAAAGGAAATAAAAATATAAACATAACAATTCCTTTTTATTTTTTGAAATAACTAATTTTACACTTGAAAAAAGACTGGCTATTTTAAAAAATAAAAGGGTGAAAAGCAAATATATATTTTTAAATTAATGATGAAAAGACTCTGCAAACACTACTTCTGGTTATTTTAAGATTATATTAAATGAGATAATCTATACATAGCACTTAATATAATACCTGCTATGTAGTAAGGACTCAGTAACTGTTACCTATTTTTACTATAAATTTGAATACTCAATACTTTTTGATATTGAACAAAGTCTCAAAATATTTTCAAATCTACTTACAGTGATGCTGACTTTTTTGGTATACAGTTCTCTAAGTTTTGGCAAATGTATAATGTCAAGCAACCACCACCATTATCAGTCCCCAAAATTCTCTTTGCAGCCACAACCCTCTCACAACTCCTATCTCCTGGCAATCCCTGACTCTATAGCTTCTTATAGGTAATCAGTCTCTATAGCTTTGCCTCTTCTAGAATGACAGATGGAATCATACAGTATGTAGCCTTTTGAATATGGCTTCTTGTTTAGGCTATCTTCTGAATTAGAATTTATATTACGAGTAAAAAAGGACCAACACTTTTAAAAATAGCATTTCAACATTACCTCCCGTATATACTCCTCCTGCTCTTCTTTAAGAGTAAGTTCAATGAAGATTTGTTGCAGCTTTTCGTTACAATAATTAATAATGAACTGCTCAAAGCTGTTGTCCTGTATGGAGAAAATGAAAAACAGCTTTATAAACCATGCCACTAGCTCTCTCAAAACAATGACACTCAGACATCTCAATCCATGAGAAATGCCACACATGATCTCTCAGATTTAACTGTGGCCCAGCACACGGCTCCTAGGACAGACGCTTGCCCATTGCAGGCACTCGAGGAGTGGGTCATGAGTAAGTGAATGAATGAAGTATACACAAATGATGCAATATTTGAAGGATGAAGACTTTTAGTTGACAGAGAAGCACCCCAAACAGAAAAGCTAGAAACAATCTCACTTCCTTTGCTGAAGGATCAGCAAAGACACAGTGAGCTCCACAATCTCTGTCACCAAGTTCTGAATCTCCCATTCTCAGGTGAAACTTCAGAGCTCAAGGAAGTCCCCCTGAACTGACCCCTTATTGTCCCCATCCAGGGACAGATCCCTCACTCTGACTCTTGCATCCTAACCCTTTTTGTAAATCATGTTATACGAACATGTGTGTATGTGTAAGTATACACATGTACAGATTAGTTTCATATACATCTGCCTCACTAGACTGTACATTCTTATGGGTGAGGGCTGACCATGCTCTCTTGTTCACTGTATTCCTACCCCTTACACAGCACCTCACACCTAGCAAGTTCTCAATATGTATTGGCTGACTGTATGAACAAATGAAGTTCCTACCAAATGGAGACCCAAAGATTAAAGCATCTCCCTGACAAGAAACAATCTCTCTCTCTGTAGAAGGCCCATACCCTTGATCACTCTTAGAAGTCTCAGCAGCCTCTCCTTCATATTAATCTCTTATGAATTTGTTGACAGAAGCTTTATGCCTAAATCATTTCTGAACAATCTGCAGGGCTTAATGTATTGCTGTACATCCTGAGAGCACCAAATGAATAAATTTATCAAGAACCACATCGTCCAGGAAGAAGTAGATCTGACACTAAAACTTGTTTTCACCTCTATTTTTCTTTATCGCCCAAAGATGGTGGCAGTGGGAGCGAGGGATAGTATGACTCCACCACTGGTAAACTGGACTCTTCTCCCACAATGGTGGCCAGTCCTGGTCTAATGAGGAAGGAGAGCCCACATGTAATGGTGCAGCCAAAGCTCACTGCTCCTTGTGAACAGGCAGAGCCACTGGCCTTCAAATCCCTCCATACATGATAGAAGTGAAAAAGTCACAGAGTCTTCTGAAAGTTGATCTTTAAAAATCAACTTTGGTCTTACTTAGGAAAACTTAAAAATGATACTTATGCTGCAGCATCTAACTACATTCTTTCCTGGAAGTCAGCTAGGAATTTCTAATCACCAGTGATGCAGTGATCAGAGGAAATTTTAAACTCAAACTCATAAATAACACATGTGAATATATTGTCAGTGACTTATCTTGTTAATGCTAAACTTAGTTAAGGATAAAAGTTTGTTTGTTTTATGTCTTGAAGAGTCTTACTAAAAGGCAAACATTTATTTTCAATAATTTTGACAAATATAGTCAGATACAAAGGGCACTCCTCAGTCCTCATTTTCACACAAATTTTTTAAAACCCTGTGCTCAAATTCGCAGAGCTAACAATTTCAATTAGAAACTGAAGTTGGTCTAGTATAGATGCCTTATTATTATTATACTCAGCATAAAGGCATTCCATATATCAGAAAGTCTCAATTGCTTTGCTAAAGTATGTCCCTATATGATGCAACTATAAATAAAACCTATAAGTAAAAGTAAAACATTAATAACTTATAAGAGCAGATCTTTGACTTTTTTTTTAGACAACAGTCTCATGGAACAAATGTGTTATCTGGCAAGTCTGTGCCCATGGAGCTATTTCAACCCTATTATGCTAAATCATCAAACAGCAAATAATGAGAAGGAAAGGAAAGCACTAGTGTCCTCAGACACATTGTGTAGCTATGAACAGCTCAAAGTACACTTCTAAAACAGGACCATGAAATACACACAAGCAGATTAGAAACCAGAGGCAAAGCTTCACAATTACAAAACAATTTAAGGATTAAGTTACAACTAAATTAAATTTGCCCATAACCTTTAAAAATTCCTGTATGGATTCTGTATTTTATATCCACATGGTTATTCAACAACCACTTACTGCAAAACTCACACAGCTAGAGAAGCTATTAACACAAGAGCATGCAACAGACCAGCACTGCAAACAGGTCATACTTACTGCATTCTGGTGCAAAAAGGGACAAATTACACAAAATGCAGTCAGTTCTTAATTAGCAATAAACTTCTAAAAGTGAGCATGTATTGATAGTTATTCATGGTTACAAATGATGGCTTTTACCATTCAGGCTGTATTTTTGATCAGTGTAAAACTTTGGATCAAGACCCATATCCAGTCAATTCAAAAGACAGGACCACAATACCTTCCTGTGGTGTCTGAACTGTGGTTTGCTAGGGGAGGGTTCTTCAGGATAAAAACAGTTTGACTGAAATAATGATACATCATATAACTTGCCTGAAGCTTTAAAGCTTCAAAATCCAATGCTTCTAATTATAAATTATCAGGAAAAAGAAAACATGCCATCCAGGCTATCACCAGTAATTCTATATGACAAATGCTCCTTCTAACAACCCCACAATATCACCCCTTATCCCAAAATCTTTCTTCAGTTGAATCTCTCCCACTGTAGGTTCCCACACTGCCCCAATCCCGCTTGAAGCAGCCCTGAAAAACATTGCTCATTCTCTCTCCATACCACCCCCCAAAATTTTCGCCGTCCCAACGCTTTACCACTATTTTATTTTTCTTATCAATATAAGAAGACAGGAATGTCAAGCCTCTGAGCCCAAGCTAAGCCATCGTATCCCCAGTGACCAGCACGTATATATCCAGATGGCCTGAAGCAACTGAAGATCCACAAAAAAAGTGAAAATAGCCTTAACTGATGACATTCCACCATTGTGATTTATTTCTGCCCCAACCTAACTGATCAATGTACTTTGTTATCTCCCCCACCCTTAAGAAGGTTCTTTGTGAGATCTGCCCCCTGCCCCCAAAACATTGCTCTTAACTCCACCACCTATCCCAAAACCTATAAGAACTAATGATAATCCCACCACCCTTTGCTGACTCTCTTTTCAGACTCAGCCTGCCTGTACCCAGGTGAAATAAACAGCCATGTTGCTCAAAGAAAAAGAAAAAAGAAAAAAAGAAAACATGCATGACATGTATCCAAGGTCCACATCCACCCAAACAGTCAGGGCAGTGGTGGTTGGCAGATCACCAAAAAGTGAAGAGATCCATCATAATCCAAAAGTAACTCCCCTTTCCCACCCCAGGGACACATCCCTGTGTAGTACCGTGCTAAGGCTCCTTTTCAAAAACCAATAAGGAGAGAGTATTCTCCTGGAGATGCCCTAATAACAAAAACTTGACTGTCTGAACTTACTCTACTGCTAAAAAAACACCGCCCCCTCCCCGCCAAAAAAAAACCAAAACAAAAATAGAATAGCACAATCACCGATGTAGAAATTAACTTACTTCCCCACAGAAATCAGCATCTATTGCAAACTCACCTCCAAAGTCTCCAAAACATGTCATGGGTCACCTAGATGATCCTTACTGCTCAAAGTGAAGGCTAAAGACACACACCTCTCTTGTGATCTAAGCTGAAGTTGATGGCATTGTTCAAATTTGGAGGAAAATGGGACTGCACATATGATTAAAAACTTTCAAAAATTTAAGGAATAATCAATAATCTGCAGAAAATTAAGGAATAGCCTGGCAGCAGTTCACAGAACTCTAACTTGTATAGGTCTAACACATTTTTCCATTAATACAAATATTAAATTAATACCTGGTTTTCAACTTGGGCCCCCTCTCCTTCATAAAATAGCTAAACTGAGACTAGAAACCACCAGATGAATAGGAAGGCCCCAAAGCAACTTTATATGTGGAGACTTTTTTGGTTTGTCAAGAACTGTGTGAATAGCCAGCAATCCCTGAGCCAGGCCCTCTCCCACGTGTCAGGCTCATGAATCAAAGTCTCCAGAAGAGGAAGTGGGCAGGAACTTGCCCCAGGAATGACTCATCTCCTCTCTCCAGTTTTCCACCCATGCTCCAAGTATGCAATTTTTCTCTACTGTCTTACCCACATTTATCCCTGAAGACTAAGGAATAAAACTAAAACTTAGAAACATCTTCAAACAAGTACCTTCTGGGCTTTCTATTACATAACCTCCCTAAATGAAGCTGAGGCTGCTTTAGAGAACAAAGGCAAACAGCAAGGTGTCTGTTCTCTGCTATTTCACACTATAGTTACCAACTATAGATTGGGATAGGGAGCACTTACTATGTTTAGAAGTATATAATATAATCAAATTTTAAACGCTAGGGCTTCTTTTAAGAATTCTAGACTTTGAGTCCATCCTTTCAACATCAAAACAAACAAACAACAACAAAAAAACAAAGCCCAGAAAATCTTATTCCCAGTCGATTCATAACTACTTTATACTCACAAGTATCAATCATAAACTCTCCAATATAAATTAAGATGTATCAAAAATACTGGCCCCTTTGTATATTCTCCTTAGCAACAAAGGAGACTGATGATATTTTATACTCTTTAAGGAAGACAGGTATTTTAAAAACTCTTAGGCTCTTTAAAAACAATAAATATTGAAAGGAAGACAGTAAATAGAAGTGGCAGCTCTGTCCCTCTGTATTTGGGACAGAGAAATGGGAAGGAGTCTGTAGGTGAATATAATGTATTTGAAACAGCGAGCAGTCCAAACACAAAGACCATGGCTTATGTTAATTACATATTAGTGTTTCTTATAGTTCAGCACTTTGATTTGAGGTCAAATTTTGAATATAACATGCTGGCTTGGGGGTTTCTACATTTTTACATACAGTAAAGTCTCCTGCATAATAAATGAGTCAATGCATTTATATAAAAGTTACAGGATTTTGAGTGTATATCACTATTTTAGGGAAGTTGGGCTATATTATTGCTGTAAAATATGCTGTTGGTCCTTGCAAAGATTTATTTGGTGTTAAAGCCTTTGACAGCTTCTGATTATAATGCTGTTCCTATAGAAAAATATAATGCACTTAACCACGGTCCATTTTTAAATATCACAGCATCAAGAAACAGGCTCCAAAACAAGAATTGCTTTTTTTAGAATGTAAACTTAAAAAATCCTCAAAATATATGAGAAAACCATTTAATATGAAATAGTCTCCTTTTTAGACATTTACAAAATTGAATGACTAGCTAAAGGTTTAGAAAATTTCCCTTAACATTTTTTCTTCCAGGTATATACTAAAATACAGCAAATTTTAAGAAAAACAATGTTATCGTGCTCTTCTTAAACATTTTAAAATAGGCTTTCATCTAAAAACTTTTTATACCTGGAAGAAATACACACATATTATTACACAGAACAGAAGCCCAACTTCACAAAGGAAGAAAATTATAATCCAAATATTCCAATTATTCCACACATTTAAGTTTGAATTTTTTTTTTTTTTTTGATACGGAGTCTCGCTCTGTTGCCCAGGCTGGAGTGCAGTGGTGTAATCTCGGCTCACTGCAACCTCCGTCTCCCGGGTTCAAGTGATTCTCCTGCCTCAGCCTCCCAAGTAGCTGGGACTACAGGAGCATGCCACTATGCCTGGATAATTTTTGTATTTTTAGTAGAGACGGGGTTTCACCATGTTGGTCAGGCTGGTCTTGAACTCCTGACCTTGTGATCTGCCCGCCTTGGCCTCCCAAAGTGCTGGGATTATAGGAGTGAGCCACCGTGCCAAGTTTGGACATTCTTATAACTGAAAAGATGGTCTGTGATTTCTGAGAAATATTTACAGCATATCCATAAAATATACACTATAAGACTTTGATTCATGAGACTGACACATGGGGAGGAGTGCCCGGCTCTGGGATTCAGGAATTGCTGGCTATTCACACAGTTGGATCCATCTATCTATCTATCTATCTATCTATCTATCTATCTATCTATCTTTTACAAATCATAGCAGTTGTCATCTTTTGTTTTTAAATCTACTTTAAATTGTTTCCTTCCTCTTCAATTATAAGCTTTCTAGCATAAGAAGGACCAAATGAAGGCAAGAAACTAGAGTAGAAGGTGCTGACTATAGCCAGAATTTCTTTTAAAAACAATTTAGAAAACAAATCCTATGATCATGAGGTGTACCTACCAGACTACAATGACTCTTGCCCAAGTATTAGATTTTTTTATTTGAAATAATCATTGCATCCAGCCTATCATACTCTTACCATATATGGGTCACTTTCAGTGAGGTTTATGAGGGCAAGATAAATAAGGAGTCCATAACTGAAAGTAATTAGCACTTTGCCTGTGTTAAACTAGCTCCACTGTATGAAAGGTGAAATAATCAGCTACTACTGCCTGCTTTGGTCTACAGAACACTAATGACCAATCAGATTTTCCCAGTAAAATATCTGCCAGTTTTAATGCCTGTCAGATAAGTATGTAGAAAACGAGCTGAAATCAATGTAGATTGTTCAACTTACTTTTTAACTTAATATCTTTTTTCAAAAAAAGAATAGCAGTTCTTTTATGGATATGCTATAAATATTTCTCAGAAATCACAGACCATCTTTTCAGTTATAAGAATGTCCAAACATAAATGTGTGGAATCAGAGTATTTGCATTACAATTTTCTTCCTTTGGGAAGTTGGTCTTCTGTTCTACCAGGATGTACAGCTAGATTTTTTTTCCTCTATGCATTTTAATTCACTTCACCTTATTTTTGGTATCAATGTTCTACTGATCTATTTTCCAAACTGACATCGGATCACATGTGGCCAGCCAGGCAGCACTTCCAGCTGGTACTGGGATGTTTTGCAGTCAAATCCATGTGTCATCAACCCATGGTTTAATGCATCAGTTTCCCTCTTCCGTTCAGAGACAGACCACAGGGAATGAAAGGTTTCCACCAGCTCAGCTAAAAAAGGCATTTTCATGGGAACTGCAGGGCCATGGGACAACTAGACGCATTTTTTTAAAAAAGTCTCGCCCTTTAGTGTCCAGTTTTTAAAGAGATGCCCAGGGTATTCTAAAAGGCAGAACTCTTAATTCCTACAGTCAATTGAAGAACAACAGAACAAATAAAAAAATACATGTTATCTATACTCCAGCAGTTTCTTTTCACTTGGGTGGAAAATATCACAGAAATTTTCATTTTTGCCTTGATGTGGATCTGAATACTTCTTCCATACTCTGACCCCTTGTACTTCAACTTGCAGTACTTTAAAGTTCTTAATTTTCTTGGTTTCCTAACACTCTGAGCTTCCTGATGTCTCCATGTGTTCTAACATTGCTGAGAATCCAGGAAAATATAGGCTGGCATCTGGGAATGTATGTGAATAATTTATTAAAAGAAGAAAAACACGTCTGTAACTCTGTATTAAAAAGCAGGTAAAAGTACCTAAAAATCCCCAACCAAATCGCTAATCTAACCTCCCCACAAATAAATTTATTTAAAAAAGTTATTAAAAATCAAAACTGAAGATTAATCTGAGAAGGCTTAAAAAGGAAAATGGAGGTAACAATTAAATATAATGAAAAAACAAATCTTGATTCTCTCAAGGAACTGGGGGGAAAAAAAGAAAAATTATTTACTGCATGTAGAAGGAAAGTTAAATTTTTATAATTTGATGGCCATTATAAGATTTGCTATAGACATATAACTGATTGGATTTGGCCTTGGCTGAAAGTTCTGTTTAAACGGAGTAAAAACCGCCTCCCAGGTTCAAGCGATTTTCCTGCCTCAGCCTCCCAAGTAGCTGGGACTACAGGCGCAAGCTACCACGCCCAGCTAATTTTTGTATTTTTTAGTAGAGACAGGGTTTCACCATGTTTGCCAGGATGATCTCGATCTCCTGACCTCGTGATCCACGCACGTTGGCCTCCCAAAGTGCTGGGATAACAAGTGTGAGCCACCATGCCCAGATGAACAGTAGGTGAGGCCCAATGTTTTACAAGGGTGTTTCATACAGTGGCCAAGCAGCATGAACACCACATGTTTGGAATCTGCAGTTTACTCCAGAGACTACTGTCTAACAGAGCATTTGGTCTCAACCTTGAGTGCACACTGGAATCACCTCAGAGCTTTAAAAAGGTTGCTGCTGCAGCCCCATCTCCAGAGATTCTGACATAATTGCTCTGGGTACAGCCTAGACATCTGAATTTGCAAAAGCTCCCCAGGTGATGCCAATGCACAGCCATTTGAGAACCACTGAAATAGAGTAATCCTCTGAAGAAAGGAAGAATATTTAGAAATGTAACACAGGCAGCCAGGCCGGCGCGGTGGCTCATGCCTGTAATCCCTGCACTTTGGGAGGCTGAGGTGGGTGGATCATGAAGTCAAAAGATCGAGACCATCCTGGCCAACATGGTGAAACCCTGTCTCTACTAAAAATACAAAAATTAGCTGGGCGTGGTGCTGCAGGAAAATCACTTGAACCCTGGAGGCAGAGGTTGTAGTGAGCCGAGATCGCACCACTGCACTCCAGCCTGGAGACACAGTGAGACTCCGTCACAAAAAAAAAAAAAAAAAAAAAAAAAAGGAAATATAACGCAGGCATTTTCATAAACTGAAGTCTCTAGTTGAAACAGTGTTGAGAAAAATGATGGTATAACTTGCAGAAGGAGGGCACATTCAGCAAGACAGGTATGGAGAGAAACTTGAATTAACCAGAAGTGAAAAATATTCTTGGATTGCTGAAGGGTATAGGGTATTTCACCCAGCATCAAGTTAAAGGATGTTTACACAGGAACATCTGACTTCTGTTCTGATTAGGTCTGTAGCAAACAAACTTTTAAAACGTAATATAGTTTCCTGATTAGACTTTCCTACCTGATAGGATACATCCTCTGGCAGCCACAGACTCTCAATCTTAGGGCTAAGACTCTAAGCTCCATGCAGACAAGGAATATCTCAGTTATGTTTACTACTGGTATCTGGTAACTCAATAAACACTTGAGAAATGACTCGAATTGTTTATGAGTTATAACTCAGTTTCCTTTGAGTGTTATAAGTGTTTCTTTTCCCATGGCTAATTAGATCTTAGGACCTACTGGAAGTCAAAGTTAACTAGATATCCCATCATAACCTCATTATCCTATTTTTTAAACTTTCCATGTGTTGTGATATGATATTAAGCCATTGCCCACTGGCTTAAGATCAATAATCCTTTTCTAGCAAAATTAAAACAAAATCAGTTTCTTTGACTTTGGAAATGTCATTGAATGTATCTTCTTAATCTAACTTTCTAGTGAAATCTCTGCTTACCCATCTCCCCTGCTCATGAAACCATTTAAATCTAGATTAGCACAGCAATGTGCTAGGTAGTAAGTCTTTTTCCCTGCCAACTGTAAAGAATGACTTTGGCATTCTGCCCATTTAGTGATAGTAACTTGAGGTCTTGCTAGAAAGAAATTAATTTCGGCAGTGATTTCTGTGTGTACTCAAGCATTTCTCCTAACTCAGAAACCTCAAATTCTTCCCTTTCTACCAAGAAATTGGTAGCTTTCCTTTGTAGATTCTGCTAAATGGGCAGCAATACAAGCAGATGCTGTGTTGAAGACCTCTGTTCTGGGGACCCCATGGGGAAGCCACCAGCACACACACTTCCATCTACGAAGCACCCAATGCTGGCCAGGAGCTTGGAGTAATGACAAGGGTGGAGAAACAGGGGAGTCAGAGACTTACCACATTTATTTTTTTCTTACTTCCAGATACTGGGGAACCTGTTACTTTGGGAAGAAAGGTGAGGAAGTGCCCCTGGTCTCAATCTTAGTAAGAAAGAAAAGCAATAAATGAAAATATTAAAAGGGCCTGGAGTTTAGGTCCTGAGTCTGCCGCTAAGTAGCTGTATAACCCTGGGGAGTTAGTTGACCTGAGGAGCTTTACTTTCTCATCTGTAAAATGGAATTCATAATAATAACAGCTACTTCATGAGGCTGTTTTGAAAAGTAAATCAGACCATACACACACCACTTACCACAGTGCTTACATACAGTCGGCCCTCAATTAGTACTTACCATTAGCTATTAAATATAGAATATGATTGAGGGAAAACATACTAAGAAAAAGGCATGTGCTAGCAAGGTCTGGTTTAGGTGAAAGGAATGATCTGATGTTTTTTTTCTGAGATTCTGTGACCCTAATTTTTTAGAACATGTAAATTCTTTGGGAACATTCTGGGCAGAGCCTGGTTCCTTAAAGAAATTCACAAATCTTACTTGTGGAGGAGAATTAAGAAAGGAGGAGCCCGATCTACTTCTTATTTCCGTGAACCAAACTAAAATACCACTCCTAAAAGTGAGAATAAATGTTTTAATAGATCCTTAAAACTCCTTCTAAATGTCAAAGTTAGCAAGGGGGCAAAAAGGAAATTCTAACATAAGTAGATAATGTTTATTTTCCAAATCACTTTTTTCAGGGGCCATGCTCATCTTCTCTATATCATTCTAATTTTAGGTATATGTGTTGCTTAACCAAGCACAAATGGTTTAAATATTTAATCTGTAACAAGCATAGAATCATTTTAAAAAATTCACCATGAGCTTCAGCAGAAATTATTTCAACCTCTGCAGCAGAATTCATTATCATAAGATCACAGTAATGAGACTCAACACATCACCTAATCCAAATCCTCTTTCTCTGAGTCTCACAGATGAAATGACCAGCCCTGGCAAGGCCAGAACCTATGTCCAGCCCTCCTGTGGCTTTCTTTATGGCACCAACCTGCCACACTTTCTAACAACACACAAATGGCCACAGACATACTCATTGTAGCTTGTTGGAAGCCTCACGGTTAGAAATTTAAATACGCAATTTCAAAAGTCAGGTACTAATACGAGTTCTTTTTAAGCAGTACTGTCTCCAAAATGCTGGCTCTCAGCATACGCACACCACACACACACACACACACACACACTCAGGCACACATGCAGGAATACACAACCAAATTTTGTTACATCTACACAAAGATTTGTTGGCAGATTCAAAGTGATAGTGTGTTACATCTACACAAGGATTATTTGTAGATTCAAAGTTACAGTTACTTATAATGTCTACATAATACAGGATTTAATTTCCAACCATTCCACTCTACTAAAGACAATACAAAAAAAATTTTAAATCTTACCTCGAAAATCTCAAAGCCATAAATGTCCAGAACACCCATGACCTTCTTTCTCACTTTTGTTTGTGCCTTTAAAAAGTTTCAAATTAAAGGGTTAATTAAGGCATGAAATATAACACTACAAGCATCCAAGGAACATAGATATATATTACAAATTAATTATGTTTCTTAAGTAAGAAAATAACTAATTTAGTTGTTTTTTAAAAAATGTATGAGATGAGGCATTGGTATAGAACTCTTTTAGAAATTTTAATAATAGGTGATATATTTAAAGAAGGCATTAGTGGTGCCTTTCAAAATCACCTAGTCCAACACTCTCATTTTAGTAATGATTAGATCATGACCTAGTGAAGTAAAGTGACCTTTTCAGCAAAGTGTGTACCACTAGTTACCAGGTGAGCCAGGCCAAAACCTGGGACGCCGACTCCCAGAGTAACTCCACAAAGACCATCAGACTATTCACCAGTCAGAAGCAACACACATGGCAAAACAAAATAAACAAAATCCCTGACAAATTTCAATCTTATACATGGTACACTCTTTTTAAGGAATAATCTTTGTAAGTGGCAATCAATTATTTGATTATAAATTTAAACTTTCTTCAACTTAATGTTTATACTGTGAATACCATTTATTACAACTGATTTTGCTCATAGAAATTCAGTACCTTAATGCTTTCATTGATTCGATTTACCAACCATGAAAACAACCTGCTGTAGAGGTTTTTAGCCAGAGCATCACGGGCATAATAAGCCTATTAAAAAACAAACAAACAAAACTTAACACCCACAATTCCACAATGCTTACTTTTAATAAAATCATAAAGATACTTTTAAAAAATATTTGAAGCTCTTTTATTTCACATCTTTGCAGAACCAGTTTTCTTGTATCATAAACAATCAAACCTTTAAGAGAATTAGGCAAATTGTTTATACACAGTTACACTTTTTCACAAACCAGGAAACTAATTTTAAATACTGCAAAAACTTTCACCACAAAGATATTTATTTCAATTTTATGGAACAGAGAAAAATCAGACGCAATTTAGACATCCAACAATAGGGGGTAGTAAGAGAAACATGCACTGAGAGTAATGTTACATAGTCATCAGAGAGTGATGGTTATGAAAATCAGGTAATGAAATGGAAATGCTCGCGTAATGTGAAAATTAAACAACTGTCTACTTAATATGATAACTATTTTTTAAAACCCTTATACACAGAAATGGAAATTCAAAGGAGATATATGAAAATGGCTTTGACTGATGGAATCTGCAAATTTTTTTTCTTCACTCAATCTTTTTTTATTTTTAAATTTTTTTGGAGACAGAATCTCACTCTGTTGCCCAGGCTGGAGTGCAGTAGCACAATCTCAGCTCACTGCAACCTCTGCCTCTTGGGTTCAAGGGATTTTCGTGCCTCAGCCTCCCGAGTGACTGGGACTACACGTGTGTGCCACCACGCGTGGCTAATTTTTGTATTTTTTGTACAGACAGGGTTTTGCCTTGTTAGCCAGACTGGTCTCAAACTCCTGGCCTCAGGTGATCCACCCACCTCAGCCTCCCAAAGTGCTGGGATTAGAGAGGCATGAGCCACCATGCCTGGCCACACTAATCACTTGAGTATTTAAAAAAACTTCCACAATGAGTTCTTTTAAGTTATAGAATGAACATAAACCCCTTCTTACGTGCTTATCTACTTTTAAAGTTATTCAGAACTACTTGACAAAGAGGCAGAAGACATATGCATCTCTATGACTCTTAGAATCCAAAGGCCGAAGAAAGTCAGGTTTGGACAGAAGAATCTAAACACCCTTAAATGCACCGAGTGCCCAGAGCATACAGTAAGTAAGTACTAATGAGATGTTTAATACCAGCATCCTGGGGAGGCCTGGAGGTTGGGTGTCAGCAGCCTAACAAGGAACTGGCCTTGGGAGAGAAAAAGCTTGAGGTTTTGTTGCTATTTTCAACATGCTGGCCGTATGTGTGTATTTTGCTGCTTCTAAGTAAAAATTGGGGTATTACTGTTAAAATTAACCAGTACATTTTTATTTTACAAAGAGCACAACTTGTTAGATTATGTGGGAATACTTTCTCTACATTTCTTCCTAAATAAAATGTAACAACTTTAATAACAGATTCACTTCCCTGGCAACATAACACAGCTGAAGATAACACCTTTTCCCTTCATCTGACATTTCCATGCTAATCCCAAACCTCCCTCCCTACTCCAATTAGGGTTAGAGAATATACCTAAGAGTTGGCAACAAACAAATAAACAAACAAGGGAGGGAATGCTTCCATAGTAGAAAATGCATGTCAAATGCTAAAACAGAGAAATCAAAATATAATTTAGATGCATCTTTCCCCAATACCCTTTCTTCTAGTTTTTGCTTTCTTAAAATAGGTAATTTAAGTGCTTAGAATAATGCCTAGCACACAGTTAGTCTATAGATGTACTTATATTGATTTCTGAAGTATCCTTTTCGTCTACTACTACCTCATGAGGCTATATAATTTCCAAATCCTTTCCTTTTTCTTCTTATAAATTCAAGTTATCTCAAAACACCACATAATTTCAAAACACCATGTTTTTGTAAATGAGCCCTTTTTCATCTTAATGTCGTCCAGCTTTTTTAGTTACATGCTATCTACTTTCAACAAGCCACTATTTCAATAAACAACTGAACTAATAGTGACAATTTATTCTGATAAATTGCTTTATATTTTTTAAAGTGTATTCACAGCCAATATTAATCTTCTTTGGTTTCTTCAACAATATTTATTCCAGGGGTCTCAAACTCAAATGTTTCCAGGGACTGTGTGATAGAAATGAACAGGAAATGATGGCTCTCTCTATTGGGGTTAGAGGATGCATTCCAGGCTAAAGGCACTCAAATTCAAAACTTAAAGAGCAAACAAACAAAACCAAAGAAAATACTACCCTTTAGTCAACTAAAAATATTGAGCTTTACCTGGCCCTAGGAGCTGCCAATTTGCCACCTGGCTGCCAATGTGCCACCCCTGACTTCCTGAGCCTGATTCATGCCACCAAATCTCCACAACATTATCCTATAAAGCAGTAAGGGAAGGAATGTCTATTCCCACTTAAGGACCACTAATATGGGGTGTAGAAACGAGGGAAGACTCAAAGTGCACTAATTCACCATCTCAGTTTCAAAGCACACTATGAAAAGACCATGCACTTCTGCAGCTGCATGAAACTCAGAGAGGAAAAGCCCAGGTGGAATGTGCTGCAGACATGGCCAGTAACAGGCATGGTCTAGGACGGCAAGTGACAAAGCAAGGTGGAGACTCAGAGATGCACAGACATGGGGCCTGCCCTCCAGGAGCTTAGAGTGGAGCTAAGGAGATCAAACTAACACAGAGGAAACAAGCAGAGGACAGGTGCCAAACTGCAAAAAAAACAGGTTCTGATGGGGGTGCGGGGTGTCTCAGGAGGCCTATTTGATCAAAGAAGTCTCCTAGGATAGGGCACAATCAGGTAGAGCATTTAGATGGGCAGAAAGAATGAGCATGACATGGGGGGTGATAGGCAGGTCGGAGCAGAGGCAGCAGGTAACAGAGAACTAGCAAGGAATAAACTGAGGTAAGCTGTGTGGGATCAGATTTCAGAGGACATCAGAAGCCAAGGAGAGAGTATGTCGGAGAAGCTGAAAAACTCTTGTCTTGAGTTTCTATTATTTCAGTATTAGTCCTCCTATCTAGAGAAAGGTCTAAATGCCTTGGGAAAAGGAGGCATGGGGCAATAAAGATGATGCTGGGGCCCAGGAATTGAAGCTATGTGGAAAGGCTAATAAAACAAATCACTTCTCACAGCAATCAAAACCTCCCAGGCAATAGATCAGTAGAACCAGATACTCTGAGTACTACATTAAAAATAAAAAAAAAAACAGTTGACTAAGGAGCCGAATAGCTGAGGATCTCTAGCCAAATTCTTTTATGCCAAAGGTTAAGAAAATGTGGAAAGTTTTCTTTAGTGATGTAAGGTGACTAAAATAAGCTTATAAAGTCAGAGGCACCTGGGCCTGGTTCCCATACAGGATGATTAAAAAAGCAAGAGTAAAACACACAATTTTAAAAAGACCCAAAATATACATATTCCTAAAGGGTCTTCTTAAACAACACAGGCTTTTTCATGGCTTCCTTACAGACTTAACAATTCCCACTCTGGCTATTGAAAATGTCCAAACTCGGTGGCTCTCAAAATGTGATCCTGGACCAGCAGCAGCAGCAGCAGTGTCACCTTTGAATTTATTAGAAATGCAAATTCCTCGGTCCTACCCCAGACCCACTGAATCAAACACTGGGGGTGAGGTCTGCAAACCATGTTTAGTCAGTCAGTCCACCAGGTGATTTTGATGCACGTTCAAGTTTAAGAACTACTGGTGCAGATTTGCCACTCTGACTGCAGACTTCACCTTTCCAGCCATATTGCTCTGAATCCTCTTTACATATCTACAGCTATAGCCAAGCTTGATTAATCCTTCTTCTGATATGTGCCCCAAATCTGGCTTTTCTCAATGTTTTCTTTTTGATATGCCCTTTCAGCCATACTTCACACATCTAAATCCTTTGATTGTTTCCATGGGGTCTTCCCTAACCTCTTACTTCCCAACTCAGGGCCTATGTGTGGGCTTGTGCTGTACAGGCTCTCAGCAGCATTTCCTTGATTAAGTAAGTTACTTCGTATCTGACTGTGAATTAGTGAGGATGACTTGGACAGATATGACAGCAAAAGCAGTAATTTAGGAGGAAGGACAGGCAATGGCTATAGCTAGGAAACGATTGCTACAAACCAAATTTCCATATATATAAAGTTATGGTATTTGCCACAGCCAAAATAACTCACCTAAAATAAGATATCAATGTTGAAAGCTAAAGACATAAAGGCATTCTTGGATTATAGTAGGAAAGGCTGGTTCAGCAACAGAGGGCAAGCCTGGCTCCACCCTACCATTTATGGAGGCTTTATGGATAGTTATGAGGATGAGACAACAAGAATACAGTTGGACAAAGTGGGGGCCTGAGTGGAAGTCCTAAGTTAGTAATTTAATTCTAGCCTGAGTCATTGACTGGTGGTAAAATGCGTAAGCCATAGCACAAAGGGTTTTAGTGAAAGGGGCTGCAGAAGCTGCCTGGGTATACATGCACGTATACAGGCATGCAACCATCCAAACACCCACCCACTTAACTTGAAGCAAAAGGAGAGAAGGCAGCAGCTCAGATTTGTGTCTTACAAAGACTAAAGACTTCACTGGCCCCAATATCAAGGGTAGAGGGGGTTCAAGAAGTAAGGCAGGGAGGCCAATTTGGCTTCTCCCACTGTCTTCTCCAAATCAGTAAATGACAACTCCATGTTTCCAGTTGCTTGGGCCAAAAACATTAAATCACCCTTGATTGTTCTCTTCCTCTTAAACCAGCTAGCACCAGCAAGTCCTGTAGCCTCTACCCTCTAATAATATCCACAATGTGACCACTTCTCACTGACTCCACTGCGACTACCTGGTTCAAGCCACCATCATCTCTGGGTTAGTGCACATCTCCTCGAAGGTCCCTCGCTTTCACTCCTTTTTCCCTGACCCTCTGCTCTCCACATCACAGCCAGAGTGACCCTTTGAAATACAAGGCAGTCATGCCACTGTTCTGCTCAAAACCCTTCAGTCATTTCCCACCTCACTTGAGTCTCCTTCCCTGCCCCAGGGAGCTCCCCTACTCTGCTCTACTGTTGCTCTCAGTTCACTGATCATACACCACGGGCTAGTTTGCTACAGCACTTGTTTCTTATGTCTACTGATTATCATCTAATTCCCTCTACCAGAATTTTAAGCTCCATGAGGGCAGGGATCCTTATCTGTTTAGTTTACTGCTCTGTTCCCAATGCCTAGAACATAGTACGATTCAGGTAACAGCCTGTAAACTAAAATCTTTGTTTATACTTATATGAAAATTAGCACAGACTTTTAAGAAACTTTCGTCTGTACATTATGTTTCACCCACCTGAGCCACATTCAGTGTAGTTGAAACTTTCTCCTGTTTGGCCTCAACTGTTCGGAAACTGAATGCTCGTTCTAGAACTGATTGATCAATGCCGGTCAATTCACAAATTTCTTTTAACTCTGTGGGAAGGCAGGGGATGGACACAAAAAGTGACTGTACACGTGCTGCTAATAATAATTTTGAAGGCTTAGGATGTTCTTTCTAAATCATAATCAAACAGATCAGTATAAAATGTATACATCAAAAAACAAAGCTTAGCCACAGTTCTATTTCTGCTCAGTTTCATTAGAAAGCTTTCTCAAACCAATGCAAAGCAAAAATTTTACTTTCTACATTAAAAAGTGGGGAGAAGTTCAAAGCAAGTTTCCTAAACAAACAAAGTTGATTCTCCACGGATGTACCATTTTTATCTTTGATTTTGCTTTCATCTAGACCATTCACTCGAGATTCGGGCTTGAACTCAATGTTCCCCAGTTTCAACACTGCTGCCACCACCGCCAAGACAGACTCAGCTTCATGATCCATAAAGCCCACAATCTGCATGGCATTCTGGGGAGAGAAAAAAAAAAGCAACTATTTTTTTCTTATAGTTATTTTCTTTTCTTTTTTAATGAATCATATTACAGATTTATTTCTGGGGAAAAAAACCCATAAAAGACAAAGCTATATCTTCAGTGGTTTCCAACTGTGATTCGAGGAACCCTGGGGGTACCTCTGGTGCTGTGGCGGGGGTTGCAGGGCACATAAAGAGGAAGACAGAAGAAACAGGAGGCTGGGAGCAGAGCCTTGGGTCCCTACTTCCACTTCAACCACAGCAGCTCAGTTTGTATGTATGTCGTTTTTTTTACACTGAGGTTTTGCTACTAGAAACAAAACCAACTTGCACAACTCCATACAAAGAAAAGCTCCTCATTCATTTTACATATCAGAAAAACTGTGGTTTGCAAAGGTGAAGAGCCCAGCCCAAGATACTGGGTAACAGGAGGCATCTGTTCATTCATAAATTTTTACGGAGTGCCAATTACGTGCCAGGCAAAGTGGTTCTAAAACCAGTCTTGGACTCAAGGTTTAAACAAAATCATGTCCAGGGATCAACAGACTATTGCTTCCATATGAAGATGTTTATACAGTTTTTTAAAACGACATACTGTAAGAGATACTTTCTTTTTGAGAACAGCTGGCTTTTTAAAAATGACTAGGCTACACAGCAATGGGAGTAATGTAAGTTTTTGTTATTGTTGTCAAACATATACAAAAGTAGAGAGAGCAGGGAAAGAACCCGCATGTCCTTTCACTCACCCTCAACAATTAACAGATGCCAATTTTGTTTTATCTATAATTCATCCTACTCTCCCCTTTCCCCATCACCACAGCTGTCTCACTTGCAAGTAAATCCCAGTTACCATATCATGTCAAGTGTATCACACATTAAGACAGAAAACAGAGTATAGTGTTATTTAAAATCATCTTTTCTAATGAATGTGGAATGCTAATCGCTCGGGTTTATATATGAGTTTCTGAAACTATATAAAAAGATTTTTTTCTGTCTCAAAAATAGTTTTGATTTAACATGATCCAAGGGCAGTTGGAAATTAACTTTTGCCATAAAAACACTTGGAATTTAAAAATAACCTTAAAGGAGTCAAACCCCAGGATAATAGAATAAGAAAGCTCCTTATGATAAATGGTAAAATCACATGCTCTAATAAAAGCATGGCCTTCACAATCTTGTGTGATTTTTGAGCTAGTAAAAAAATCAAAGTAACAAAAATAGAATTCTTGTATAATTCTAAAACCTTAGGGAGAATGAGCTACACTTTAAAGAAAACTCAGAATTGCTACCAGCTCCCGCTGAGCAATGCAGTGGTATGCAATTTAAAGCTTGATGAAAGTACTACATCTTACCCGCACGGTTCTAAAATTTGCTGCATCATCCACTCCATTCACTTTGGCCGAATCCAGACTCAGGTAGTTATACCTGCTGAAATCCCTCTCAAGCTTAAGTTTATCTATTGAATCAAAGACACAAGTTGTTAAGTTGCTTCAATAAATCCAATCTTTAATATCTCATTCCCTTTGATATCTTGTTCACATCGGTAACATGGCTTTTATATTAAGTATTGAATCAAAAGAACACAAATTATACCCAAATATCAGTAACAGCATTATTCTTAAAATGACTTTAATCACTGTGATAGCACAAACTCTGTTTTATACTTATCTAGGTAAGTCTCTTTCCAGAGTTTTTATAATAAAAAATACCTTCAATGTATTATTTCATTATAACATATGAGGTCTGCCTGGTGATTCAATATATTATTTCATTATAACATATGTGTTCTGCCTGGTGATTCCCTCACCATTGGATATTTGGGTTTTCTCTAGTTTATAATAATAAATATAGAGCAGTGATAAATGTCTTCATACCAATTGGTTTTTGGATTCATATCTGAATTATTTTGTTGGAATATAGTCCAAAAAGTGGTGTGACTGGATGGCATGCTCTGATTATAAGAGGTCCTCGCTTTGAAGTAACACCCGCAGCTCTACACAGATGGGTATACCACAAGCTCCAAGCAGATCAGTGACAACTCTGCTAGCTTGATCCTTAATAACTTTTGCTAATATATGTAGATACTTCTACATATATTATACTATATGTAGTATATGTATATATTATATATCTACATATATAATAATATAGTAGATACTTCAGGGCTGTTTTAATCTGCATTTGTTGATTATTAGTGAAGATGACTTTTCCTAAGTGGTGTTGACTTTTCATAGCTCTTCTTCTTTGAACTATTTGTTCACTACTTTTCATCATTAGCTATTAGCTATTAGATAGTATCTTTGTGGAATTATGTTAATTCTCTAAAATCCCAAATATCAGATCTTTATCTCTTGTATCAACTGCAAAATGTCTTCCCCACTATTCTTAAATATTCACCTAGCAATTTGTTTTTATAGAATTGTACTCATTTAATTAGAACCCTGATAATTTTCTCTCCCCAAACAGAAAAATCATATTCTTCCATTTTATTTTTTAAATGTATGATTAGTCCCTCCCCTAATAATCAGCTTTGGCCAAGTCCAGACTGAGGCAGTTCTAGCTGCTGAAATTCCACTTGAGTTGACTGAATCATCTGCACAGTCCTCAACACATCGGAGACGTATGGCACAGTATCTGGTGAGGTACAAGAATATTACACAAACCCTGGGGTGTGGTAGAAGCAAATACACCATGTTCTTCACTTCAACTAGAATCATAAAAAATATTCTTAAGAAGGAAGGGGCAAAGCATATGGAGTATGTTTTAAAGAGAATGCTTCAAAAAGTGCTGTGACACTGAAAATTAAAACATAGAAACAATTCAGGCACAGTGCTCATGCCTGTAATCCTAGCACTCTGGGAAGCCAAGGCAGGAGAATCGCTTGAGCTCAGGAATTAGAGACCGGCCTGGGCAACACAGTGAGACTCCCAGCTCCAACAACAACAACAACAACAACAACAACAACAACAACACCACATAGAAACAGAGACTTACTGAGGAGCTCTTCAGAGGCACCAGAGAGCAGCTGATAGAACACATGGAAGTTTCTTTCACCTCTTGGCTGTTTAACAACCCGAGATTTCTCTAAAAGATCTAAAGAGAAGAGTTAAATCATAGTATGGCATTTGTTTCACTTCCAAATCCACCATGCTTTTTTTCCTTCTCACTTTCTTTTTTCTTTCTATTCTGCAGTAATAAAATGAAATAATAAAGGAAGCTGTATTTTCAGTTCTAGCTTCAGGAAGAACCACAACTCTAATGAAAATCACCAAATTACACAGGTCACGTTCTTTTTAAATAATGAATATATAAATAAGTTACATTCAAAACACTGATTAAATATCATTTTTATACTAATAAATGCTCTTGGTTTTTTATGATGACATTAAATTCCTGAAAATGTGACGTTACAAATGTAAGCAATGAAATACAGCCATTCAATTATGAGTCTACCTAGTAATTTTAATAAAAATTAGTTAATACTTTGAGATCTTATTATGTGCTTAGTGTTTTACAGATGGTATCTCACTGAATCCTCCCAACCCTTTTATAAGGTATCATTCTACAGTTGAAAACACTGATAGTCCAGGAGTTTACATAACTCAGTTGGCAGCTTGTGGAACTAGGATTTGAAATTAGGACTCTTGCACCCACATGCCCCACTACCTGGGAGAAGCAACGTAGAGTTTGTGGATATCTTGAAGTCTTAGAGAAAGATGGTTCTCATTGAATGGAATTTGGTGTTATTTGATATTATATTTTCATTGACTCCAGATAATTTTTCAACCCATAAATCTGAGGTCTTCCCAAATTTTCAAATGGGAAAGGAGGAAGGAAGGGAGGGATGACGAGGATATTCTTGTCTGGAGCCCTGCTTATCACTCAATAGTGATACAAAAGGCTGTGGGCAAAGGCAAACTTCAACTATAAAATTCCAAATTAGTAATGTCATTATTGAGCACTAATTCTAGAGAACACACAAATTTCACGTCCCCCTAATCAGGCTGCAATCTAAAACATCACGATAATGCTTGGTAAGGGAGAGAATGATGTGCCATTTAATCTAGGAACGATCATTAAACTTTTTAATTTGTATTTCTGGAACCTACACCAGCATTTGTGGAGGAGTTTAGGTAGAGTGAAAGGATATATATTTGATGAATGAGAAGTCCTAGCGTGCTCCAAATACATAAGATTGTAAGAATAAAGAGATGCAGCATAAGAAAACATAAAATTGAGCCAACTGAAAAAGAACAAAAATATGTAAGTACAAAAATTATTAGGCGCAGGATGCTGCAGATTTTTCATGTTCTCCAGCTCTCATATGACTTGGAAGACTGCCAATGTCCTCAAATCATAGATGGAAAATAATGAAGGCTTCATATTTAGAAAACATGAAAAAAAAAAAAAACCCCAAAGGTTGAAAAGTACAAGTGGGATATAACTTAGGGAAAAAAGGATTGTGTAATAGTTACCATCTCTAAAAAATGGAATGTTTCAGTCAATTAATAAGTAAAAACTGACATGCAAAGCACAAGATAGACTAAATAAGTAATGTTAAACATGCAGTACGATTTTACTTATCATGTGACTGAGCTTCTATGGGATCCTGTAACAGTTTTAGAAGAAAAAACCCACAGGGCATGGGCAGATTCTTCATTGAAAAGCTAATTTTTATAGGAAATTCCTCAAGTTTAGAAGAAAGTGGCTTGATTACATAAAAAATATAAACAAATGCTACATTTGACTTCATCCATTCATGCACGAATTCCTTCAAACAGGTCATCTACTGCTAACGCACTATGTGCCAGCGATTTGGGAAGAAGTTTAGCACCAGCTGGACACGTGATGACCTTCCACTTGGTCTACAAAAGTCACACATGTTCTTGGCTGCTCTTGCCACCCAAACAAACAGCAGCAGCTCTCTTCACAGTGAGATGCCAAGGCCCTTGTGAGTGAGGACGAGGTGAGCTGCTGTCCTCTCACCTTACAGTGGCACCTTATAATGATGACAAGCGATTGTTTGGCAGCACTTCCACAATCACATTACAAAAGCAAACTGTAGTAGGTCAAGACACAAAATAACACCATCAAAAAGCCCGTGACAACACTACACTGTGCAACAGCAACACACTGGCCAGTCTAATGTTTGGCACCTTTTGAATAAACGCTCATAGACATTGCAGAGTGTAGAAATGGCAATGACTGTAAGATTCAGCAGATAACAACCACCAAGTTCAAGAATAATATTCACTTGCGCACGATATGAAAAGGAATGCTGGCAAAGTGTACTTCGTAAACTGCACACACTGATATGATCAGTGATTACTCTCATATTCCAATGTGAAACATGATACTAGGTGAGTTTAAAAGGAAAGGTGCAAAGGGAAAATAGAAAGAGAACCTTCCCTGACCTTTTGCTATGCGTTCAGTGCTTTTCATTTTTTATCATATTCAACCCTGAACACCTTCCCTGAGGTTGGTTTTATAATCCCTATTTTACAAATGAGAAAATGAGGCTCGCATCCCAGTCTTGGTAAGCAATAGAGCCAGAATTCAAAGCTCTGGGTGACTAGGTATCATGCTTACAGTCTTTATAATTTTCCAGCCAAAAAAAAAGCAATGTCCTTAAACACTTGGAAATGCTGTACTTTGTATAAATACATGAATTCGCCTAAGCAACTCAATCACACAAGATAAGGAATCTTTCATTACAAAGCAGTTGAAGGTTTTACCACTTAAAATGCTTACTCTATTACCCTAGAGCCTCCCATTTCAATTTCTTTATGACTTTTCTCATAAGTCACAAGCTTCCAGGTAGAAAAGTAATCAGGGAAAATGTTTGCCCCCAAATTTACTCATGCTTAAGACCATTCCTTATTGGTTTTCTTCCCCTAAATGTGCATGCACCAACATAATCTAACAGCTTGAAGCCATACCAAATAATTACTCAAAGTAGAGAACATAAATTCAATTCACTATAGGGATTCACCACCTGACCATTTTAATTTACTTAAATGTGCCCCTGAATTAAGTCAAAGCAGAACATTGGCACGGCCTTCTCTTCTGCCTTAGGTACTTCTACCACCGCCAATTGAGCCTCTGCTAACAAGACTTAGTAAAGAAGAGTTATTATTAGACACTGGATATTTAGTACAGAAGAGATATTCCAGATATTCTAATGCAGCTACATCCTCCTCACAAGATACAAATTTAAGTTTATATTAAATTTAGCATAAATTTCCATTTTAAGGTAAGAGATAAACATATTAAGCCACTCTAGTGGGGAAGTTAAGGGGGCAGGGACAAAGAAACAATGAATGAGAACTTGCCCCCCGCCCCACTGCGCTGCCGCCACCCGACTATCGACACGGAGCCTGGCCGTTATGTAGGGGCTTTCCTAGCTCGACTCATTAACAGCTAGTCCACAACACGTATAAGTGCCTGTGCATGTCAGAGACAGCCTCCCCAAGGCACAAGGTGTGAAAGAAATAGTCTAAGGCTGCACCTACTGGAGGATGAAGTTTTTTGACAAATAAATAAAAAGACATGTATTGGTCGGGAAGAAAAAAAAATCACATCACATACTTTAGGATGTAACAGAGAAAGGATTAGATAGTATGATAAAAGCTTCATTATTTTATGTATACTCTCCTCTCCTGGAAAAAGAAGTGGTCCAAATTCTTGATTAAGGCTAATTACGAAAAAATCAGCTTTGTCTTGTGAGGTGAGAAAGACAATGAAAGCTTGACTGAAAGGCTATCACTCAAACTGACTGCTCGCAGAGACCCTGTGCCTCCTCTCCAGTTGCTCCAAGACTAATATTATGAAAAAAGCATCTCAGTCGCATTTAGGTTCTTTCAATGAATTTATGCCTCTTCAGTAAAGCAAAAGGATACATTAAACAACAAGCATATGCCAGTGCATAAGGCAGATAATTGAAAGTTCGTTCATGAATGTATCTGAATCTAAAATTCTAGACCCAATCCTGAAATAAAATTAATGAAATATCTGGTCCTATCTTGATTTACTACCCTAATAAACACCAATTAACGAATGAATAAATTAATTCATTAATCTGAGGTTAATTTAGATCTATTTCAGCACCTGGTTTCTTCAATATTTGTATATAGTCTCCTTTCATGATAAATACAGTCTTTTTTCATGGTAAACGTATGTTTGTATGAAGAACAACAAAGTAAAACTGAGATAAAGAGAAAGCATCTACTTTCATATAAAGCCACCCATTACGAAGTCACAGCATTGCTCTTTTGAAATTTCAGTTGTATTGCTACAGATACTTCACAACCAATGATTGACTACTTCTGTCTTCTTCAGGAGCTTTAAAACTCAAAACTCAAAACTCAAAAAAAAAAAAAAAAAAAAGAAGCCCAGCCTTGTATGTATTATAAATTAGGCAATGTATTCTCTTAGTTTTTGATTTGTGACCCTAAAAAGGCAGATTAAAAACAGACACTTTATTAACGAATATCCACTCACTACTGAGAACTGACCCATAGACAGGAAGTCTTCTATTTCACCTCAATACATATATTCCCAGAAAACTGATCAGAGATTCCTTTAGGAAGTGTTCTAACAGGCAGTTTCATGCCTTTTATTGATGACTTTCCATCAATAAAATCAAATATATGATATAAAAGGAAGAACAAAGCTGTAAATCTCAAACAATTTAAAAGAGTAAAACCACGTTCCATACAAAATGGCATGAATGCAGCACACACACAGATTAAACAATGTGCCACGAGATAGCACATGAAGGTATAAGCCAATTGTGTCGTAAATTAAAAAGAAATGTGAAAAAAACAAAGCAATCCAGAGTAATCTGTTCCATCCTCCATCTCCATTGTGAGGAGGGTGGCCATTTCCTTTTGCTTTACATTTCCATGTGGAAGCATCTCCTTAGAGTAACTCCCCCAGCGTGCTGGCCCCTTACTCACTCCTCCCCAGGACGAGAAAAAATACTTTGCTGAGCAGTGAGATTTGCAGAAGGAAACGGCCGTGCACAGAGGGCTCAGCTCTCTGGGTTCCCCACACTGTGCACACATCTGGCTCTACTCCTCAGTGCTGTAAGACAGATGGGGCAATGCACACAAGGAGAGGCCAGCAGTTGCTTAGCGTTGTCAATCACTGCCTCACTACCAAAGTGCCAGAGGACTACTAACACATCTACTTGGGTGATAAACCAAAAGCCACTTTCCTCAACCTTGCCTTTAACAGTAATAAAGCCACTTCCTCTCCAGCTTGATTCTTGTGCCTATTTTACAAGTGCTTCCAAACTGGGTGAGGGAAAGGATATATTATCAATCACACCCCTGTATCAGTTAGTTTTTGCTGCATAACAAATCACCCCAAAACTCAGCAGCTTAAAACAATACCATTTATTAGCTCACGATTGTGGGCGCCAGCTGGATATTTCTGGCCTGAGCCAGCTTGGCTCATCTCTGCTGGGCTTGCTCATGGGTTGGTTGTCTGCTGGCGACTGGCTGGCAGCCGTCTGGGCTAAGATGTCCTCACTCATATGTCTAGCAGTTCATTCCATGTGTCTCTCCTCATCCAGCAGCTAACCCAAGCTCATTCACATGATGGTGATAGTGAATTCCCAAGATCAGCAAGAGAGGACAAACTCCAATATATAAACAATCCTCAAGTATCTGGTTGTGCTGTAGTTGCTAATTGTTCCATTGATCAAAATAAATCTCCCAGTCAAGCTTTGAATCAATGAGAGAGGGGATTAATCAAGGCTGTCGACACAGGGTCAGAAATTATTGTGCCATTTCTGGAAACAATCTATCAGACAGTGGCTGTCTAAAATAAAATGATTACCAATTATTTGACACTCTTTCGAGAGGTATGATCTGTGTCCCTGCCCCTGAAACTGTGCAAGCTGGTGCCCACTGTGACTACATAGAGTACAGCAGAAGTGACATGCCATATGCTTTCCTAGGCTACTTCAGGCTTCCTCCTCAACCTCTTGGAACACTGGTTGCCAGGATGTTACTTTCCTCTCAGAACCTAGTTGTAATACTGTGAAACACCCAAACTTGTTGTACTCTGCTACTAAGTTTGAGGTTGTAGGGGGCGGGGGGTTGTCAGGCAGTGCAGCAAGAATAACTGGAACATAGACAAATCACAGCATTTGCCTCCATTCATAATTAGCAGAATTTCTTTTTTTCAAGCTGAACAAAGTCAGGAACAAGAGAACTCTGACTACCAATAATTTTGTTTGACTTTCTGGGATTTAGGAAAAGCATTCATTTAGAAGTATTTTTAAATGATTAGCACAGAATATTCAGACAAAATTTTCCAATAAAGCAGAAGCTTTATTTCTCAACAAAACTCTTAACTGTACATAATTACTTTTGTGATCATTCATTCATTCAACAAATATATATAAGGTGTTCGACATTATTATTATTATTATTATTATTATTATTATTATTATTATTTAAGACGGAGTCTTGCTCTATCACCCAGGCTGGAATGCAGTGGTGCAATCTCGTCTCACTGCAAACTCTGCCTCCCAGGTTCAAGTGATCCTACTGCCTCAGCCTCCCGAGTGGCTGGGATTACAGGTGTGTGCCACCACACCCAGCTAATTTTTGTATTTTTAGGAGAGACGGGGTTTCACCATGTTGATCAGGCTGGTCTTGAACTCCTGACCTCGTGATCCGCCTGCCTCGGCCTCCCAAAGTGCTGCGATTACAGGCATGAGCCATGGCACCCAGCCTATGTTTGACACTATTTTAGTTGCTGGTCACTCAGTAATGAACCAGACTAAGGCTCTATCCTTATAGAGCATGTATTTGGTGAAAGGCTAGAGACAATAAACAAATAACTATAGTGAAAAAAGCAAATATTTATTGAGTGCTCACTATGTACCAGGCACTATTACAAGTGCTTTAGATACTAATACATAATTTATACCTCAGGACAACCTATGCAATCAGTCCTATTGTTATTCTCATTTCAAAGTGAAGAAATGGAGGCACAGAGAATGAAGTAATTTGCCGTCTTTTGTTTAGACACTGGAAACCACATGATAAACCAACAAGAGTTGCAAAAGTAGGCTCACGGGTATGCCCCAAATAATGGATAAGGAAAAAAGAGCCTGCCCGTATTTGCACTTACACACCTGCTGTGTCAGGTATTACACTAGACTCTTGATAAGGTAATGTGAACAAGACGACCTGTCTAGTCCATAGTTCGCTCAGGTGTATGCACATCTGAAATAATAGTTTCTTCATAGCGTATATTTCTCTGTGCTATTCTTCTTCTAGAAGACAGAATCCCTTGCGACTTGTACCATATGTTCTCCACTGTCTAAACTGCCACCAAATGCCTGTGATGTTAATTTTAAAAACTAGTTTCCAAAAGCTTCCAGTTCATAACACTAGATGCAAAATCCCCAAATACAAAAACATAAATGTTATCAGACCAACAAACCTTAACAAACTAGGAGAAATATTATTTAACATCACCTAAACATTTGGATGTGCTTCTATATTTTATCTTCTCTATTGAAACAAATGTTTTACCATCTTCTATTTTAATACCTCTCTTAATGACACTAACCTCAGGGATATGTAGTTTTCAAGTGAGTCCCAGACTTAATTTGTCTCTTTTAGAAAAAGAGAGAGGAGTTACCGGGCTTTCCTTTCCACTTCCTGGGTACACAATTGGCTCAAGGGATATTGTGCCTTTTTCAAGGTTAAGAGTTTTAGCCAATGACAATCTATGCTTTCACTAAGCAGCTGCTGGAAAAGGAGGCAAAATATACTTCCTACAAAATGGCAAATTTTGTCTTCTTTTCTACGCTACAAGAAGCTAACTTTTAGCTTCTTTAGTTTGGAGAGAACACCAGTTGGTTTATCCATTGCTTTAAACTCCCTTCTGCCAGAAGGCAGCAACTCCCAGTGACCACCGATGAGTCAGTTCTCTATACAGGATGAAATTTCCTGCTCTTACCACTAATGTATTCCTTTTCTCTCCAAAGCAAAGGATACTCTTAAATACCAGGGTGTTCTCACTACCACAAATTTCAATATAATTTCACTGTGGGAACAAATGGTAACAAACACCATATGAACTCCATTCATGAAGATATATTAATCTTAATTGGAAAAGAACTGAGTGTTTAATATTTATTCTCCATGGATACTGCAAGAATCAGGGGACAAGAAGACATTTGTGCTTAGAACTTAAACTTCAAAATTTAAAACTGAAGTTATTTTCTAATCCTTATAATAATAAAATCATCCTGAATTATTTTCCTAAAATCCTCGAGTAATATTGATTAAATCATTCCAAAATGTTCAGCTATAAGTTCTGTAATGGAAATAGTAAACCTACTCTCATTTTTAAAAACAGTGTTTTATTAATTTTATAGCTAGAGTTAATTTGTCTTGTAAAAAGAAAGCACTAAAGGCTCATGAATATCATTCAGAATAAATATTAATCATTCCTTAAAATGGTGATCTTAAAACTGAGGCAAACCACTAGCTGGATAGCTCTGATCAGCTGCCATATATTGTAAAAAGAGTCTTCCTAACAAGTTTGGCAGGGGTTATAATCACTTGCCTTTGGTTACATCGTATGTGGTTTGCATGAGTACTTTTACTCCCATATTTTGTGTATGAAATCATTTAACTTAGGTAGCACTATCCCATTCAACTTCAATTCATATTAAAACTTTCTCTTCAAGGCATTTCTCTAATAATTAAACATTCTTATAAATATGGACAATCCGAACACATGGCATACAAAAGTGTGTAGGTGGGCAAACTAAAATGGAAACTTATTTATTTATTTATTTATTTTTGAGATGGGGTCTCACTCTGTCACCCAGGTTGGAGCGCAGTGGCTCAATCTTGGCTCACTGTAACCTCCAGCTCCCAGGCTCAAGTGATTTTCCTAAGTCAATCTCCTGAGCTGGAACCACAGGCATGCGCCATCACATCCGGCTAACTTTTGTATTTTTGGTAGAGACGGGGGGTTTCACATGTTGGCCAGGCTGGTCTCAAACTGATGAGCTCAGGTGATCCCCCTGCCTCAGTCTCCCAAAGTGCTGGGATTACAGGCATGAGCCATTGCGCCCAGCCAGAAGTTAAATTATTTAAGAACTACAGAATGCTGGAAATGGGAAGAACCATGGAATTCATCCAATTCAATCCTATCATTTTAAAGATGAGAAACCTCTAGCCCTAGATGGTTACTCTCTGAATCATGATTTAATTTTTTTTTTAAATCAGCTGCATAGTTTGACCAAATTACTAAATAATAATTTTCAAATGGCATTCTTCTGCTAGGGCTAGTCAGGAAGATCTCAGTGGCATCTGAGAGTGCCGGGATTCTGGGCTACCCATCTCCTCTTCAACCAGATCAGGTCTCATTTTACCCCGGTACCTTCTTTGGGGTTCAGCATAACATTTCCTTTGAAGACGAAATGCCACTGTTATAAGAAAAATAAATGAGCACACTTTGGATACTTCAGTCAACTTTCTTTTTTTTTTTTTTTAGGTCTAAACATAAATTTTTTCATTCTAACAATCCCAATAGCACCATGGGATGGTGAGGCAGGCAAGGGCAGGAGAAGGTTCAGTTCTATGGTCCTCAAAAAACCCAGAGGACTCAGAGGATAACCAGACTGTGGCTGAGGTGCACAAAGCCCTGAGTCATCATCTTACATTTTCCAAACTAATCAACCACGAGTCAAGAGGAGCAGGGACATCAGGGTTGTGCTGTGGGTGCCACAACTCCAAAGCACTGACAGCACTGTCATTTTTACAAGAGACACTGAAAACCCCGTGTGGCACTCATACACCCACTTTAGAAAACTCTGCACCTGGGCTAGAATGAGCAGACCTCATCTGATTGTGTTTTTTTTGTTTTTTTTTTTTAACTTTTCACATAAAATATTTCACTTCCACAGTCACAAATCATGTCTAAAGAAGGTTAAAAAATCTGTTTTACCTAACAAGTGTATCACATTCCAATCACTTAAATACACTGGAAGAGAAGCAACATTTCTCAAAATAAGACTGAAGTACAGGTCTACTCCTTTTATTGAATAAATATTACTTCAAAAGTTATAATTTAAAACCAATTATTTATATTTTTTTTATCATAAGCATTTTGTTAAAGAAAATAACCCTTAGAGGATCTTTTTTTCATACTGGATTGCCTTAAAGACCTATAGGATTTTAAAAAGACCTATAGAATATAAAAAACAGTAGCGCAAATATTTATTTAGCAAACTTCTAAAAAGTTTTTCCAAGGTAAAGATGTTAAGTGATCTTTAAAAAGATTTATAAATTACATTCTATTATAAAACAATCTGAAATGCAAAGCTTAAAGTCTAAATATAAAGCAAGGAAACATATTCTTATGCCTCAAAGACACAAGTATCTAAACTATTCTACTATAAATATATGTTTTAGTATTCTGAACTTCTTTACAAGGACTGAAGAAAAATACTCACAGTTACTTATTACTCCTCCTAGTGGATCGCCTTTAAAGTCAAATTCAATATCCATATATTTGCCCTGCCAAAGAAAGATTTTGTGAGTTTTCTAGTTCATCTCAAAATGTTAACTCAGTGTACTTCTTAGAGAACAGCAGACTAAGCCCTTATTTTTATACATTTGTTTAAATGTAACTAAGAAAGACACAGTTTATATAACCACGATGCAAAACAACATGCCTCCATAAATAATTCATACTAAATACCCCATTAGTTCAAAGCTAATATAACCCACTGCTAATTTAGGAACAAATCTTCTCAGCCATCATGTGATTTTTCCATTTAAGATTATTTTTCAAACTTCTGGAGGATATGTACTCAATTCAAAAATAAAAACAGAAGAAAAATAAGTTGTCTGTGTATACAGACTGGTTGGGAAGATAGTCTTTTTTTATTGGCAGAATATGTTTTAAGCCATTGCTAGGAACTTGAAACATATCAGTAAATGAATTGAAACGTTCAGAGATCTGTTTTTATATCTACTCAAATCAAATACAAGATTATGTGTTATGAACAGGTCAGAATCACACTGGTCATTATTACTGTTTTTGGCTTTTCACCCAGATTATAATAGCAATATATAACGCAGGTTCATTTTACACTTTATAGATAGTATCTTAAACACACAGAAACACACATAGAGTTTAATATTCTGATTGTTAAAAGAACTGGTCTATAATTGCCTAAAGAGTAACAAGTATAACAGAGTAACTGTGACAGCTGTTTCTTGTTTGGAAAAGTGTGTGTTGATCTAATAAGTAAAGTCTTTAGTTTTGTTTCATGTCCTAAGAATTACTTTAACTCATTAATTTTCAAAATGAGGGTAAGGGAGAAGAAATACAATCACATGGAACTCAGTCAACAATGCAATTTGTGCCTTTTTATCGGCTTATGCATGCTCCTGCACCTTCTCTTTTTTCATCATCATGGGTCCTCTACCCTTTTAGGTCTGCACTTATTCATAAGGATATGTCCCTCAACCATTTCCTTAAAGCTGAAGTAGGCACAAGCGAAAGCATGGCATGGCTCCTGCCTTCAAGGAGCTTACTGTCTAGCGGGGGAATTGAGACAGGTTAACTGGATATTCCAGTCTAGGAGGATATGTCCTACAGTGGGTCCTGGTGCTATGCCAAAGAAGCGGGAACAAAGGGAGAGTAGGAAATCTGCCCCATCTTAATTGCAAAGTATCAGCAGAAGTCAGGTGGGCAAGGAGGTGGGAGACCAGGAAGGAGTAGGCATAAGAATTGGCAACCGTGAGGATGAGTGGGAAACAAGGCTGGAGAGGGAAGTTGGAGCACATGATTACTTTGAGATATTCTCGTCACACCAAAGCCATGTCCTTAAAGGCTCCTAAACAAGGATGCCATGATCAAACCTGCCTATTTACAAGATTTCCCTGGCTAGCATGGAATGAACAGGAAAGAAGCAAGAGAAGATGTAGCTGACAGGAGGTGGCTACAGTGATTAGTGGAGAAATGTTGGTGGCTTTAAGTAGAAGTAGTCAAAGAGAAAAAGTAAACAGAATTGAGAGCTACCCGGAGAGTCACAGGAACAGGCCCAGGTTGGATGCAGGAGATGAGAGAGGAAAAAAAAAAGTCCAGTCATGTGGCCCAGGCCACTCAGTGTACAGGGAGGACCTCCAAGAAGGTGGGGGACCAAGGAGGTGAAGCAGCTACAAAGGAGGGAAAGAATGGTTACTCTGTCAAAGGAGTCAGAGGTTGACCATGTAAGAGGGGATCCTTTTGACAGAAGGTGGTCCCTGGCCACAGGAGGCGACAGAATCTAGAGCCTAGGTAAAAGGAGTGTACATAGACATACATATAGGTCAGGCACCAGGAAGCAGGATTAACTCAGTTTGAAGGCCTGTATGATGATGATGGTGATTTCTGTGAAGTAGGCGTAACATCATGAGCTGAGAGTAAAAAAATAGGATGTTTGAGGAGAGTAGAATAAACACTGGAGAGAATGGAAAAGGAAGACAACCAGGGATAAACCAATGAGTGGCCAGCCCTGAGAATTCAGTTGATAGTGGAATGACACTATTCCCACTAAGCCACTTCCTGATTACTCGCCAAAAGCTGGGTTCTGATCATGTCACTAGTCCACTCAGAAATAACTCGTAGCTCAATATGTCAAACTACAGCTGCTGTGGTGGGGAGCGGACACTGTGAGGCATCTCCATGGGAATACTGGTTCAAAATGTGAGCTACGATGAGCAAGCATTAACTACAACATAGCAGGGTCTATCAGACTACTCAGTGAAGAGGTCAAGGAATTCATTCCAGGTTAACCAGACCAACACAGACTGGTTTGCAAGTCGAAGACATTGCAATTTCCCCGGAGTACAAGTACATAAACCACTGTTAGGTACAGTAGTAACTTTAAATACAGTAGAGTCCTCCTATAAAATTAAAACATGGGTATATTACTAGTCAAGTCACAGACCACAAAGCAGAGAAACTGCTAAAAACTGGGCATGAAATGATTTAGCCCATAATCAGGTATTAATCTCATATCCTAATACCCGTGTTATAATAGGATTTCTCTGAAGTTACTTAATAAGCCAAATCACCTGCCAAGCCTTTCACTAGATTTCAAATATCACTGAGTAGTAATAGCCTTTTAAGCAATATGGGTTTTTACATTTTTGTGATCTATAGACTAAATATATTTGCAAATATTAAATACTGTGTGTGTATGTAATTTGCAAACAGCAAAAATAAAATCTCTATCACATAAAGAAGCTTGGTCATTAGAATTACTTCTATCGCCCACACTTCACTTCTAATTCTATTTATGTAATGAGATTAGCCATGTTACCACAACAGGAAAAGGCACAGATCAAATCAGTTATAACAACTTAAGGGGCTAATCTGATGGAAAAAATTCACAGCCTTGGAATTAGGAACCTTATTTAGCCTGCCATTTTCTAAACTATCAAAACTATCTCCCTTGAAGTCACTGTCCTGCCTTAAGCACAAAATAACCTTAAGGAGGAAAGAGCCAAACGGGATCTAAAAGAAGAAGGTGGAGAAAGGTCAGGAAGGGTCTCACATAAGGAGGCATAAAAGATCATCAAAATTGTCCCTGGTGGCAATCAGTAAGGTATGTGAGAAGACGGTTCATTAAACAAATGATCTTTTATTATAAAAATGTATACATCAATTTCAAAACACCACCATCAGACTCAATATTTCCTGCAGCTGCATCCAGGCAGCTGTGTCTCTGTAAAGGGTAGAGGCACCCAAGAGCATGGCCCGCCTGGAGGAGCCCACTGCGTCAACATGCAAGGCACAGGCCAGGGAGTAGTGGGGGATGAGGCTGGAAAGATGGACCCTGTAGGGAGAAGTAGCATTTTCCAACTCAATCAAGCTCAAAACACCAAATAGATTTGGTTTTTATTATTCAGTTCTACTCTACAGCCCCACGCTCACCCCACATGCTTGCTTTTGTTGCCAAGCCTATGGACTTTACCTCTATTAATTTTAAAATACATCCCATCCTTTCTGGACCCACTGAATAAGGGACAAGGGTTACGGTGCACCCTAACCCTAAACTTGAGACCCAGTTTATCTTTCTCTTAATTTCTGATTCTTGATTTCTAAATACCAAACTCAGATAAGCAAAGTGTTACTCTAAATAGCCTCATTTAAATTGCTTATGGGATTTTATGATAGAAGATGTCAAGAAAACATGATAAAAATTGCTTGTTACTCCAAAAAGAATTCAAAAGGAAAATTCCAGAAATCAAGAGTCCTTATAGAACTTTGTGTTTCAATAGAGATGATGTTCCTCTTATTTTAAAAATGTGTGTATTAAGAAATATTAAACATCTACTGGTTGTTTAAACATACATGAGCTAAATATTAGTGTTAACACTTATGCTTATACAAATACTTACAAATCTAGAGGAGTTGTCATTCCTTACAGTTTTGGCATTTCCAAAAGCTAGTAGGAAAGAAACAGATGTATGGTTAAAAAAATAATAATAATCTCAAGCAGAAAGATAAAGCAAATACAGTATTTGAAATCTATGATTTCTGGAAAATACAACTTGTAGCAATGATATTTCTGTCCAAAACTTCCATAGAAATATACTTAACAGAAGTCTTAGTAAGTTGCTAAAGCTTCCATGTCTTACAAGTTCATAGAAAAAGAGAATCATTCCTATGACTCATGGAATTTTTTCAAGTATTACTGTAAACTTAATCTTACCTAATTCAACACCTTTTAACACTTCTAGAGAGTAGTCAATTGAGTGACCAGGAAGCAAAGCTTCATGCTCTTCTAGGATTATCATCACTGAATAAGGTTATTTCAGAGATTACTTATTATCAAAGGCTTTATGGAACTTGAAGTTTCCAGATCATGGGGAATGGCATGTGAACCTTTAAATTGTTTAATTAATTTTAAAATAAAGCTATTTAAATATTATTAATTATATAGCTCTGGAATACAGGAAGAATAAGAGATTTGGAAACAACAGTCATTTCCAATAGGCTACAAGTGCTACATGGTTTCATCAGTTTATGCACATCAGACCTAGGTGAAACTTTCCAGACAACAAAGAAAAACAATTTGGCCCATAATGCAAAATACAAATGTTCCAATCTTAGCTGTTTCCTGGAGACAAATCCCTCACAGGACTCCCTTTTAAATGAGAGCGTTTAAGAACCCCATGGTTGACGCTGGTCCAGACACACAGTGCTCTTGTTTAACACAGGGAACAGCACGGAGTCATAGGGTAAAAGGATTGTTTCACCAAGCCTGTGCATAAGATAGGAGCAAGTTAACCTGGGCCATGGTAGTAGAAGATTAAGTAGCCTAAACATAAGTTGTATAAGTAGAGGCGATCCCTGTTTGACACTCTGGAAGCCCCACCCCGCCCATCTTTACCATTTCAAACTTTAATGTGCAAACTAACTACATGAGGATAAAGTGCAGACTCAGGTTCAATGGGTCTGGGAAGAGGCATGAGATCCTCCGTTTCTACCAAGCCTCCCACCTGCCCAGTCTGTTACTGGGATCCAGGGGCCACACGGCAGCTAGAATGAATAATGTGGTGAACAGAAATAAACTTCTGGAATCAGAGGCTAGGCATCAAATCTCTAGAGGTCTCCATAACTTCTTCAAATTAAACAGGGAGCAGATTAGACTACTGAGTGTTCAAATGAGAACTACGGGCTAAAATCTGGTCTGACTTTTGAAAGCAGTCAGAAGTCTCTGATCAAGGAGAGAGGGTGTGTGCTTACCTATGTTAACTCCGGTAATTCAGCAGCCACACTTGATGCATTATATTTTGTGTGGAGTGGCTTTTTCGTGTTTTTGATTCTTTTTTTTTTTTTTTTTTTTTTGAGACGGAGTCTCGCTCTGTCGCCCAGGCTGGAGTGCAGCGGCGGGATCTCGGCTCACTGCAAGCTCCGCCTCCCGGGTTCACGCCATTCTCCTGCCTCAGCCTCCCAAGTAGCTGGGACTACAGGCGCCCGCCACTACGCCCGGCTAATTTTTTGTATTTTTAGTAGAGACGGGGTTTCACCGTTTTAGCCGGGATGGTCTCGATCTCCTGACCTCGTGATCCACCCCCCTCGGCCTCCCAAAGTGCTGGGATTACAGGCGTGAGCCACCACGCCCGGCTGTGTTTTTGATTCTTAAAAAGATAGTTGCCCAAGCTTGGTTAAGACAACATTTACAAAGTCAACACAGGCAAAGTTCTTTGCCTTAGAGATGCTGCTTGGGCTGAGTATGGTTTGGTAGGTCCCTGGCAGCAAATTCTGTCTTCAACAGAAGATGAGCTGAAATGCTATACAGAATGAAGAAATTTGCACCTAAAAATATTCAAAAAAGGATGCTTGCTGGAGAGGTTCCCATTCTTATCTCATGTCCACCACCAGTTAAAAGGCTTTCATGAATGTAACCTTGATAATGGTGTGTATTGACCTAGTTATCATGAAGACGATGACATTTCTTGTGTTTTCACAGGCTAGTCTTTTGTGGTGGGTGTGAACATGCAGGGCTGCCAAGTTAGCTAACTTGCACAGCCCCAAGTCCGACTAGAGATGTTGATGCATAAAGGACAGTTTATTGTGGCTTGAAGGTCAGGGGCAAGTGAAGGAATTGCTTCAAAGAAACTTTATTCAGGGTGCTATTTGCAAGCCATAAACCATCTTTTCATCAAACAAATCTGAGTTGCACATTACTAAACACAACCCTAAACACTAAAGCCTTTTATTGTGAGCCACAGAATAAAAAGCAAGTGTTCCATTATAGAACACTTGAGACACATTCCTCAATTGGTTTTTTTAAAGTTCATTGTTCTAAATGTTCATTTACAGTAGCAGCTCCAGCTAAAAAGTAAAGCATTCCCATAAAAGATAATGCATGCCCACAGTAGACATTTCTTCTATTTCCTGCACTGGAGCCTAGTTCCAAATACCACTGAATAAAGAGCCAGATTCCAGTCACAGATGCAGGCTACAGCATTCCTCAGCATTTCTCCTTTACATCACAGCACTCTTAAAATAAACATATGCAGAAATACAGCAAATGTATAGCACCCCAACTTAAAAGCAAAAGACAATAAACAAAAAGTCAAATATTGGAACAATAAAATTGAGAGATATCGCTTTCCATAATAGCTTCGTTATTAAGATATTGCAATGGAGGAAAGATCAAAAACAGCATAATAGATGATTTGCCTTCATTTCTCTCTTATGCTACTAACTGGGGATACAGATGCATGGTGTGTCCTTGTAATGGTGAAACTGAAGCATGGGAAGTGTGTCTTGGGGTCACAGTGAATACTCAGTGTTCGGGAGCCTCTCTGAAAGGGCAGGAGAGGCTGAGCCTGAGTACAAACGACAACAGGGCAGGGTTTTAACCCTTCATACTGGGAAAAAACTACCCCAAAGCAGTTCTGCTTTAATCCGTGTTGAATCTCATCCTTCCATGACTTTACTTCTATGACTTGAACCAAAAGTTTCCACCAAACTACCTATCTAGCCTAGAGATTCTAATCAAGGGTGGTTCTGACTCCCTAGGGGACATCTGACAATGTCTGGAGATACTTTCAACTGTAACAACTAGGGGCAGGGGTGCAACTGGCAGCTAACAGAGGTCAGAGATGCACAGGACAGGCCATCCTACAATGCACAGGACACCCTTCCACAGCAACATGTAAGCAGTCCAACACTGCTGAGGCTGAGAAACCTTACTCCACCATAACAAATATGTTAAGTGACAGTAAAGACATGCTTACAATATAAAGCATTTTTTTTTTTGAGACAGAGTCTCCCTCTGTCGCTTACAATATAAAACAAGTTTTTTTTCTTTGTTTGTTTGAGACAGAGTCTTCCTCTGTTGCCCAGGCTGGAGTGCAGTGGTGTGACCTTGGCTCACTGCAAACTCCACCTCCCAGACTCAAGCGATTCTCATGTTTCAACCTCCCAAGTAGCTGGGATTACAGGCATGTGCCACCACGCCCAGCTAATTTTTGTATTTTTAGTAGAGAAGGGGTTTCATCACGTTGGCAAGGCTGGTCTCGAACTCCTGGCCTCAAGTGATCCACCCGCCTTGGCCTCCCAAAGAGCTGGGATTACAGGTGTGAGCCACTGTGCCCAGCCATAAAGCAGTTTAATAGCTTGCCATCAGTAGGGAAAGACTTTGATATACTGTTTCCAATGCCAAGGTAGTTCATACTGATGTTGTATGCCATTCTCCATGGCATTAAGGAAACTCATTTCTGGTTTTGTTTTCTGATGATGTTATGGGCTGAATGCTTATCTCCCTGCAAAATTCATATGTTGAAGCCCTAACCCTCAAAAAGCTAGTATTAGGAGGTGGGGCTTGTGGGAAGGAATCAAGGTGAGATGTGGTCATGACGGGTGAGGCCCTCAAGATGGAACTGGTGGTCTTATGAGAAGAGATTCCAGAGAGCTTGCTCTCACCTCTCCCCACTCAAGCACAGTGAAAAGGTCAAGTGAGCATACAGCAAGATGGCAGCCACCTACAAGCCAAGAAAAGAGGCCTCAGAATAAAATCTACCTGGACAACAGCTTGATCTTGAACTTCTAGCCTCTAGAGGTTTGAGAAAATAAGTTTCTGTTGTTGAAGCCACCTAGTCTGTGTACTTTGTTATGGCAGCCCAAGCTAAGACAGAGAACTAAATAGAGAATTTGAGCACTCTCCAGTCAGGTTTAGGCTTTCTATGACTCTGGAAAAAATGAGTCCTTAAGTGTTTCTCGGGGTGAGCCCTCATTTCTCTAACAACAAAAATAATCAGCCACAGGTGTTATCCTGAATAATAAAACAGCACTGCACCATCATATGCAAATGATCAGTTGATTATTTTTAATCAAAATTTAAAGAATTCAAATAAAAATTGAGTGGGGAAAAGTGACTGTTAAGTGAGGAAGCCCATTTTACATTAGTAAACTATTCTGCTAAACACTTAGGCCAAGAGGTTCTAGAACACGGCTTATTTGCTCAGCAGGTCTTGGCCTGAATCTCTTCCTTCCTCTTCCCTCCCAGAATACCTCCCAGCAGACCAGGTACTCAAAGCACCCACATAACTCAATCTACTGTTTGAGTCACACCGACTTAATGAACATAACACATCCTACCTTCCAGGACCGGGTTGGACTGTAAAAGCTGTTCTTTAACTTGATTAACTTCTGCTCCTTTTCCACAAACAGCTGCCACATAGGACATGACAAGCTTACTGGCCTCTGTGGATGAAAATAAGCCATATTAATCAATAACACAGAAATTTAAAAAATCTTTTTGGGGAGGAGGAAATGTGGGAGAAGACCCACTAACGGCATTTTCAAATGTCTTTATTCCTAGAGGAGTAAATAATGTTTTGGATACCTTTCTAAAATATTTGTGCTTTCTATTCAGTGACATGTCATTAATTCAGACATAATAAAAACTGTGCTTAAAGTTTATCACTGGGCTGTTAAAAAAACTGCTTAGTAACATGACCAACAAAATATCAGAATTATCTTCTTAAAGCAATCATTTATATATAATTATTATATTATATACTGATAAGCCACAAATAACTTGATAACCTGGGTATCTTTACCAAACGTATTTTTAAAGTTTAAAAGACTGCTCTTCTTCAAAGATATGTTCCAAATCACAAGTTCCAAGTCGTTTGCTCGGCCAGGCACAGTGGCTCCCGCCTGTAATCCCAGCAACTTTGGGAGGCTGAGGTGGGCGGATCATGAGGTCACGAGGTTGAGACCAGCCTGGCTGATATGGTGAAACCCTGTCTCTTCTAAAATACAAAAATAAGCCGGGCATGGTGGCACGTGCCTGTAGTCCCAACTACTTGGGAGGCTGAGGCAGAAGGAGTGCTTGAACCCGGGAGGTGGAGGTTGCAGTGAGCTGAGATCGCACCACTGCACTCCAGCCTTGGCAACAGAGCAAGACTCTGTCTCAAAAAAAAAAACACCAAAAACCAAAAAACTGGTTTGCTCATAATTAGACCAAATTCATTATTCTTCAACTTAATTCAAAAACTAAGCAGCCAATGTAAGGATTTAATAACAAAAAAACGCAGCCTTTTCCAGACATGGTAGTCTTAATAGGCTTCACTAGTAACCCCGTTACTAAAGCTGCTAAAGAATAGGCCACATGAGGCAAAGGATAAAACCACCTAAAAATTTTTTAGCTCAAACTGGGGACTAAACATGTCTTTGGTGGTTTTATCCCTTCCCTATCAGTCCGTGTCCCCTCTCTCGGCATCTGCCTCCTAGCTTCTGATTCTTTTAACACTAAGTTTCAAGAAATGTTAATAGATATTTAAGGAAAATAAGGTCCAAAGTGGATGTGGAGCTACAGTGAGTCAGATGCAGTGAAACCACTTTCATTATCAAAAGGCTTCTCAGAGCTTTTAATATGATCGCGTGCACTGCTGAACTCTAAAAAAGGATCTAGAATGCTGTTTCCCTAATTTATTTTCTATGGAATCTGTTTTCCATTGATTGGGCTGTCCTAATTAGTTGTTCTAATGTTCCGTAACTGGGACCCAGAAAATGCTTGACTATTTTATGTTGGCAGAAGAAAACATATTCCCTGGTCTGGGTAGTTAAGGTAAGGAAACCAGTCTCTCCACATCCTGCTTTGTCTCAAGTCTTTGCTCTACTGCCACTGTCAGTGGGCAGGTGAGCCTCCTCCAAGTTGGAGGGTCTCTCTGCCTACAGGTATAATGAGGCAATCTTAACTGTCTCACAGGAGACCTGCAGGTGGATTCCAGTCCCATCTCCCACCATTGGGAAAATAATACGTGAAAAATTGGAATGCCACTTTGAGCACACTGCCCAACGTATTCCTGAGGGCTTTTGCGCAACCTAAAAGCATCAACCAATAGGAGCCACTGAAGACCAAGAATCTATGCAGGTCACATAAAGCTCTCAAGTCCTAAGATGTCTGTTTCTGGAGTACTGGCAAATACATTAAGGGGGAAGTAAACAATCTCATGGAGCACAGAACTATGGTGGGACATTAGGTGCTTCTTCAATGGTTGGAGGTAACTCTCTCCAATTTGCTTTCTGGGTAATGAAAAGGAATCCAAATAGGTTGTCTGGTCATCTGTGTGGTTGATTTCTGCTGTCTCCCTTTAAAGACTGTAACTGAGAAACAACCATCTTTCCACCTTTGCAATACCGTTCTTTTACAGGGCACTTACTGTCCACATAACACAACCACCAACATTTAAAGTTCCTCAACTACATTTTCCATTATTCTCATGGTTTATCTAGAAAAAAGCTGGTGAATTATACATAGATAATCCTGTTACACCATTCAGGCTGTCCTGAGCCATCACTTACAGACAAAGACTTTATATACTATTATATTTCATTTCACTCCTGGGGGCCACATTGCCCTCTACCCTCTAGTCCAAGGTATAGCTCTTCCCTGCTCACTTCAGGATACTTTCTAGGCTCTCTGCCTTTCAATTTCAATTCAGGTGAGGCTGCCCTCCTAGCAGGTTCCTAACATCCGGTGCTATCTAGTCTCCAGCACTGGGGCAGCTCTCTTCAATCACCCAGGCATCCAACTCTGTAGTCTGGCCTTGGAAGCAATCCCCTCCAGGCCTGCTTTCTCATGTTTCTGCTTTCTCAGTGGCATTCTTTGTTCCCCATCCCCACCTGAACTCTCACATATATTATGTATATGTTTCTTTCTTGACATAAATTTCTGGCCTATCTATCCATCGTAATACTAGGAGACTGAAAACATTTATCAGCAAAATAACTGTCTTAGACAGTGGCAAATATACAAACATACTAATGCACACACACACAAATACACACTCACACATTTTAGATGAAAAGGTAAGTTTTCTTTTAGGTAAACTGACCAAAAATATATAAAGTTTAGGTCAGGCTCTTTTGTTATTCTGGTAATTATGGACCTTACTGTGGCCAAACTTCAAAACCTCAAAATTCAGATTCACGGCTACATTGAGTCCTCTGAAAACCTGTTCTGGTCCAGGATGAACTTAGAGGACAACTGCTTTAGCAGGGTGGTGGTGGGGGGAAAATCAACCAAGAATGAGAATCTTTTGGTGGCTACTAGAATTGATTTGACCTCTCAGAGACCTTTTTAATGGCCAGAACAAGATGGGATCAAGTTCTCTCAGGGTCAAATGTGTTTGAAAATGGCACCAGGAGCAGATCTCCTGGAATTTGGGTCAGGCTTACATCACTTGGCTGTTAAAGTATATATAAACCCATAATATCTCCTGGCATATAAAGATGGATTCATTTAAACTGAAATTAAGAATCACTTTATTAACTTTAAAACCTATTTAAGCAATTCAAATAAAATTTTAAAATATAGTTTGAGAATAAAGTTCAAGCTGTTTTAATAATTTATTTCCAAGTTGTTAAAAATATCTTCAGATTCTTAACTATTTTCAAGAATTCTACTACTGGGCTCATCTTAATAAGTCATTTTTGGAAGCTGGTATTAGTATTTTCTCCAAAAAAAAAAATCACACTATTTAAAAGAGACAACTCTTATAATTTTTTTTTTCCTGACATATACTTGACCTTTAACTCAAGTACTTCATTACACAGGCACTACTTTAGAGAAATTAATAAACCAGTAAGGATGAATTACAAGGTCCAACATACTTTAAGGAACTGTTTTCATAATATTTCACCACGCTGGAAACTGGAAATAATAGTTACCTCATGAGACTTTGTGCTTCATTTCCTTTTGACTCTTTGGTGCTAAAGTTCAAATAAATTTGGATCTGTATTCAAATATTTATATACTTATACAAATCAAACCTTTACATAATAACCTCTATAATGAAAAACTGCATTTCTGAGGAGAATCAAAAATGGAGTATCATCCACCATATTTCAAAGTCTGGTTTTTGAATTATGTTGACTGTTAAATATAAGAATATTGTCATTTAAAATAGACAAAATGTAACAGCATTGTTTAGAATCAATTCTTGGTTCATCACTTTCTCTAACTCATAGATACTTTATATATGTAAACTTACGTACATATATATATATATGTTTGAATGTAACTTGAATCTTAAAATTCATCAACAGCTGGACTAACAAAATATATGAAGCCTCTGGGGTCAAAATCTCTTCTCATCAGAAAATGGCAGAACATTTAGGGTTAACACATATTCCTCACTAATGGACAAAGGGCCTGTTACAAAATACTTCTGGATCAGAATATCTAGATCAGAATTAATTTCTACAAACAATGGAAAGGAAGTACAGATGACAGTTTAAATGTGTGAGGATTTTAAAGTCCTGTAAGGGTAAGAATAACTAATTGAATTCTGTATTCTCTGACACCTTGCACTGTACTGTGAATAATATGTATTATCATGTAATTATCACACAACATAGAATTATATAAATTCATATATAATAATCTTTTTAATGAAATAAAGCATTGTGAAGTAGCGGAAGGTGAATGAGGAAGGGAAAACAATTCAAGGAAAGACAATTGTCATGATGACAAAAGGATGGGAATCTCATGCCTAAGATACCTAAACCTATCTATGTTAATGGAGCAGGCTCCACATGGATTCAATCACTGCATTGGGGGAAAAAAGGCTTGAGAATAGGCAAGGATTATTGTGCACTTTTTTCACAGAGCTTCTAATAAATTTATCCAGGAGTAACAGGTCTCTATGGATAAATTCATAGATATAGGCAATATCATGTATGTCGCATATTGATCTACAGGTCATATGGCATATAGAGAGGGCCATACATTTATTCGTACACATTTATTTATCTCCTTCTTTACCTCTCTATCTCTCTAGTTAAGACACCAAAGTTTTTCTAGGAATTGAGCTTTTGTAGGTCTGGTGGTTCAGAGCCCTAGACCAGAGTTTAGGGCTAAAGAGTGAATGCCTAAATCAATGAGGCCATGTTTGTGTTCAACAAAACAAGCACTCTACAGCTTGGAGAAACCACCTTTTAGCAGTCTGGAGTCTACTGTGCTGCAAAATAACCCAGCTCCCGCACATCCAAATGGATCTAACAGGCAGCAGTGAAGTGTTCCAGAGTACTAAATGCATGGGCCCTGCAATGAGAGACGCAGCCTTTGTTACAAGGGAAGTCACAACTGGTGATGTTTTTATTGAAATAAGCCTGTATGTCATCCTCTTCTGAAAGAGGGCCACAAAATCTCTGATAATTTATATTAAACACACGGATGGAGAGGGGTCTTTCTCACACAGGGGAAAAACAAAACAAAAGCTCACTACATTTTGGCCTTGACTTCACTTATCTATTCTGCTTCAGTGTGGGTATTTTCAACACTGTGAAATGCTCGCCAATGTTTAGGCTACAGTAAGTCAGTGGCATCTCTGTCACTGTCCAGTTGGAGAACCACTGCAGATACATAAGGTCATTTGGGGTTTAGAACCAAAGGTCTTAATGAGCAAGGCAGGCTTCATAACTCTTCTAGCAGATGGCTGAAGAGTTCCTAGAAACTGATGTAACTGTAAAATTAGAAACCAAATAATTATGTTTCCTAACGTTGGGATCATCTTCTCAGGCCCAGAGATTTACTCTGATGTCCTTGGAAAAATGTAGTTTTGATGGTTCCCTCATATTCTGCCCCCCTGCCCCCATCAGTGCTTGAAAGGTTCTCCACAAACCATCTGTATTCATGGGAGTGAGTTGTGAGTTCAATGCCTAAAAATACATGGGCACTTTTATGAGGTCTGATGAATTTTTCATTTAGCACAGCAGTAATGAATTAAATAGCACCCCAAAGGACTCAAAAGAGTTCACGCCTCTCCCTAAGTGCCCATGTTACATAACTCCGCAGCTTAAGAGTGTCTCCAATGTTTAAGACCAATAACATCATCATCTGCCAAGGAGGGTTTATGACCCAGTTAAGTTAATTACTTCTTATAAAATAAGCCCTCTAATACTACATGGTGGTTCTATACAAACTATTAAGTAAAGACTTTTATTGAAAGGAGATATTATATGTCAAGCACACAGCACATTCCAGGCCTTCAATAAATGTTAATCATCTTCTTTCATTTATTTACTAAATCAAAATTTTTAATGAACACATGTACACAAAAACAATTTTAGTGCATAAGATGATATGACATTTCAAAATGGCCTGGCATCCCTCTTCTGCTCAAAACTGAGATGAAACCCCCACTCCAAATTCCTTGTACAACTATATACTGAAATTTCTATATTATCTTCCATCATTTTATTTTCCTGTAAGTAATCTCCATAAAACAGAGACTTTAAACAACACACAATATTCTTGGCTTTACTCAATTTGATAGACTAAAGACAATTAAAACCGTCATAAAATATTAAGCAGTTTTTGTACCACTGCTTTAAAAAAGAAAGAAAATAGAGTAAGTCAGCAAACCACTGTATGTCTACAGTGGACTGAGAGGTAGGAGAAGCTGTTGGGTTCCATAAGTGAAAAGGACTCAAGGGCTAGGTGCTACCAAGCATGTAGCTAAGTGGGTATTCAAAATGAACCACTCTCAGGAGCGGTATCCACCTCCCGGCTCCAGGCGTCTTAGTGATAACAGACAGCTGAAGCACCCAAGACGATAGTTCATCACAGGGTCCAAGAAGCACAGTAGCTCAAAAACAACACAAATGCTTTGAGTGACTTCTAGGCAGTGTTACTCGAAGTATGGTCCAAGGACCAGCACGACTCCAAGTTGGTCAATCCACAGACTATTAAGTGATCTACACATGCAAGTAGGCTTTTAAAAGCTTCTGTACTAATTTGGTTGCTTGTTTTGCCTGTTGAAACTAAAAGAAAAAATTAAGGTTTAAATGCTCTATTTTGTCTATTATTTCATTTTTCTAGTAATGATGAACATGAGATTTGGAACTGGTGCTTCACCACAGATTTGAGAAGCAATGCTCTAGCGTCTCTGTTGGACCCTCCTCCAGCCTCCTCCCTGAAGCAGCACCTAATTCTATGTGCTGTAAACACAATGGCACTACCAGAGGAAAGGGTGACAAGCCCTGGGAAGCGCTGTCCATTTTCCAGCTTCTGATAAAGGGCAACAGGATCCCCAGAAGGACTAAATCCAGGGAAGATGACAAGGAGAAGAGGATTTCAAGTGGTGATTTGGGCACTGAAACCAATAGAACAAATTGTCAAGCAGAAAAATAACAAGAGAAAACTATAAAAAAGAAGAATGAACTCCATTTTACTACTAGAGTTCTACCAGAGAAATAGGGTGGTAGTTATTTTTTTTCCTAAGAAAAATGGATGCCAATCCTCTGAAACAGCACTAGCAACCTCCACTCAGTTTTTCAGTAAGGAAGATACATGAGCCCATCAGGAGATGGAATCTGGCTCCAGGAGGAAGTAGTAGTGTTAAGAACTCTCTGAGAAGGCGGATGTCACATACTGACATAGCTAATTAGTGGACGTGCTGTCTTCTCAGAACACATGTTCCAGAGGAGATGAAGAACTGGCCAAGACCCATCAAAACAATGACCGCAACCCACTTCTGATGACTCATTTAGGAACGAATTGATACAATTAGAATATCCTAAAAAAAAAAAAACCGTTAGTCACAAAGAAGGCTGACTAAAAAGCTAAAGAATGTAAGAATGAAAGAGGCTTAGGAATATTTTCTTTTCTTCTTCCAAGTGAAAATAAAAATGAAGCAATATGAAGTGAATATGTGTGCTTGTAGATAGAGTCAAATAGGATGGGGGGAGGGGTGGGCGTAGATACAGCATCAGTACAGATGCCTTCAGCAAGGAACAGAGTTTCTAACTTGCCTTGCCACCATTTTCATTTGTCAACCTAGAGACAAACAAGAAGCTGTACTGCTTCTAAGAATTAAATTCTGTTTCACCTGAAAGAACTGGTTAGTGACATGGAAGGGGTAAAAACATTTTCTCAAGATGCCCATGTCCTGTAAAGTTTCCCACAGGTTAAGAGACAGAGACAGAGGCAGAGACAGAGAGAGATAAAGAGAGAGAGAGAGATTTGAACAAGCAAAGACTGGGGTCTGTAAAATGGAATTAGGGGTAATCAAGAGAGAAAGGAGAGAAACCCATTAGACACTGCTACAAATAATCCTCATGAGAGATAATGGGTGGTGGCTTGTGAGTCTCCATGTGGACAAAAAGAAAAGGAAGAGAGAGCCTGGTATGAGATATATTCTAGAGCCAGAACTGACAAAATTAGGAAAGGGATTTGATATGGGAAATACAGGAAAGGAAGAAATCAAGGATAACAAACATTTCTAGTGTGATAACTAGGTTGACTAGTGGTCTCATTTATTGAGATCAGAAAGATTGGTTATAAGAGGGTAAAGAGAGAAATCAAGAGTTCCATTTTGTACATGCTTAGTCTGAGATGCATGTTAGACCCCAAGTAGAGATGTCAGACAGGCAGTAAATACATAGCTGGGAGATCAGCCAAGAGGTATTTTCACTAGCAGTGTAAATGTAGAACACATTAACGTTACTGGAAAATAGTTGAGACTGCCTAAGGAAAAAAATGGAGAAAGATAAAGATACCCAGAACTAAGCAAATCAACTAATTTTTAGTAAGATAGACATATTTTAAATGAGACCTGGCAATTTTCATATGGATCAGTCTTTGGCCCAGTCCTATTCAGTGTTTTTGTCAATTACTTAAATAAAGACAGGAGGCTGGCTCCTTGGATTAGTACATGATGTTCATTCAATTATTTAAATATGTACTGACTACCTACTGTATGGCAGCCATTAAATTAGGTAGTAGAAACATAATACAAAATCCCTCCCTTAAGAAGACATGGGAGGCTAGTTGAAGGAGACTTACCAACATGGGCAAAGTAGTGTGGCACTCGGAAAGAATCATGTTCAAGAACTACTCTGTACCATGTTCAAGGTACAGAGATGCAGCTTAGTACAGTGGATAAAAGCAGGGACTCTATAACTACACTACCTGCATTCAAAATCCCAGCTCTGCCACTTATTCACTGTATAAGTTTTGGCAAATTGCTTAATGTTTCCGTGTTCCTATTTTCCCATCATAAAAACTGAAATAACAAAAATACTTATCTCATACATGTAAATAAGCACACCGCCCAGCACGTGATAAGTGCTGAACGTGGGTTAGCTAGTATCATTATCACCCAGCAAAATGACAGCAATCCTAAGGGAAGGGAAAGCATCAGGATTTGTCAGCTTCTCAAGAGGTTGTAACAATGGACCAAAATTAATAAAAATAAATACAATATTCTGCATGTAAGTTTAAAATAATTTTGTTCATCAATAGTTGATTGAGCAGATCTGACCTAATGGAAGTTACTGTGAAAAAAAAAAAAATCCTATAATATCTTACTTGGTTTAAAGACCAGTATGAGTCAATACATGCTTTATATTAATAGAAGCTCAGAGTCCACATTAAGAGGGATAATAGGCCAGGCATGGTGGCTCGCGCCTGTAATCCCAGCACTTTGGGAGGCCAAGGTGGGTGGATCACCTGAGGTCAGGAGCTCAAGACCAGCCTGGCCAACATGGTGAAACCCCATCTCTACTAAAAATACAAAAATTAGCCGGGCGTGGTGGTGGGCACCTGTAATCCCAGCTACTTGGGAGGCTGAGCCAGGAGAATCACTTGAACCCAGAGGGTGGAGGTTGCAGTGAGCCAAGATCGCGCCATTGCACTCCAGCCAGGGCTATAAGAGCGAGACTCTGTCTCAAAAAGAAAAAGGATAAGAGTTCCACTACAACCAGGACCAAATCTCAAGTATTCTGTTTATTTTTTGGTATGCAATTTCATGAAGCATATTGACAAATTAGGATGTTTCCAGAACAACAGGACCAAGATAATGAGAGATTTGTAAGATCCAATTCTTCCTGTAATGTGCTCTCATAAGCACCATGTGATTTTCCTTCACTCCACTTATGTTTTGCATGTAATTTGGATGTATAGGTACGTGCATATATGTCTATGTAAAGAGCTATTGTTTATCTCCCCTACTAAACGAAATGTGATAAGGGCAAGGACAGTCCCTAGTATAGTACCTTTCACTAAGTTGGTATTCAATAATTTTTTTTCTGGATGAATGAATTAAATCAATGTGTATAAAATGAGAAAATTTGAAGAAAAGGGATTTTTAGCCCTAGAAAGATAAAATGTTGACTTCAAATAACTAAGTGATTGTCCTGTAGAGGAGAAGGAAGACAAATATGGTAAAGTTCCAGGTAGCAGACTGAAGACAAATAGGTAGAGGCAGAATTGAACTCTAGGTAAGGAAGAATTTTGTTAGCTGAACCTGTACAACAAATCCAGGGGGGTGCCATTCAAAGTGGTGAGACTTCATCACTTCAAAAGGAGTTTGGCTGTCCCATGTGGAGGAGCCTACACCAGGTGGTTTATAACTAAAATCCCTTCAACAATATGACACCATGTTTTCTGTTACCTAAGGCTCTTACATGCCAGTCCTTTTCCCTTCATTTCTGACCACCTAGAGCCTAGAACTTGGCTAGCCCTGCAAAACAATGGTGCTCGGTGTCTCCAAAGAGCTCAAGAAAGGGGGCTGGACACATTCATCTAACCACTCTTTCTTCAGCTGCATGGGGTGCAGGGAGGAGTTACGCCTAAGGCAAGTGGAGTAAAGAGTAGGTGTAGAAGGAAAACCATTTCGATGTAGATAGTGAGCCTTTCAAGGCACAAATATTTCTAAGAGCTTGTGAATAAAATGGATTCAGTCAGTTGACTCAACACCTATGGCAGATTTTCTTCTCTTGATCAATGGGAACTCAAAATGTGTAAATGTTACAACTAACCAGCCATGTAGAATAGAAACATTTAAAATTCCACCTTTGAATACTAAAATAATTGACCAATTATCATATTCTTATCTATAAAACAAAAGCATTTTACAGATGAAACTTTACGAAAATACCATCTCCCTCACCATCTTCCTCCTCCACAGACTCATCAGTTCCATCAAAAAAAACCCACTGATAACAGCAGCTTTAAACGTTTCTAAGGTTGAATTCAGAGAATGTGGCTCTTCTGAATCTTTTCCAGGTAGCTGGGCACCATCTGTAAAGTTATTTTCTCACTCAAGACCACCAATCATATGAATTGCATTTATTAAAAGCACAAGGGGAAAAAAGCATAACCCTTCCATTTGGAGGGTTTTTTTATGCGAAGCTTGCCAGGTCTAAAAAATACATATAAAAATCTCAATTCTTCAGGCTTCAGAGGAAAACTCTTGAGTAAAATGTTAGCATTTTTCTGGTATCTTCCCTCACTTTTTAGCAAAGGTAGAGTGTGTTTGTACCCTCTTAAAACCTAAATAAATTGGCATTCTTGGGGAAGCAGTTTGAATCTGTAACAGCACACAGGTTTAATGTCTTGGGAGAAAAGTAAAAAGATCTTGCACCATCCAGAGACTACGCTAAAAAGGTCTAGAATCCGGCACTAGACTTCATATTGGTTGGAATCCCCTTGGATAGGCATCTTGTTTCTCTGGGGAGTCCAGAGAACATTCTGTGTTCCTAACCAGTATCCTCCTGCAGAAGCACCCTCACAGTGGCCCTGCGACAGATCTTGCTAAGGAGGCCCTACTGGTCCTCTTTGCTGTTGTCATTCTGTGCAGCATTTACCTTCTGCAGAGTTGCTTGGTAGGAGCCTTACCTGTTTTTCCTGCTCCACTTTCCCCAGTAATGAGAATACATTGGTCCTTATCTTGATCTCGTAGGGATCTGTATGCTTCATCCGAAAGGGCAAAGCTGCAGGGGATAATGGAAAAAAATTCCTTAGACTTCAGATCATTATTATGTGTTTATCAGATGGAACTACAAGCTCCTTAAAGGGCCACTGTGATATGCTTTTGGAAAGCAAGCTATCACCTTTTATTTCCTTTGAATTCTTAAAATCCATAAATAAATAAACCCATCCATTGTGACACGTTACCTTCTTCCATGTATTCTCTATTAACCAAAATAGTACTGTTTTATTGTACTCTAATGATATGCTTTATTTTTTATATAATATTTACTATTTATATAAATAAATAATTTATATAAATTTATTTAATAAATTTATATAAAATTTATATGAAATTATTTATATAAATAATTTATTTATTTATAAACCCAGCAAGCTACATTTATGGGTTGTTAAACTAAAATCCAGGTAACTCAGACAAACAAGGAGAAAATGTTACACCACATGTCTAAAATTGGATAACGTTGAGATTTTTCAGGACCATACACTGAAGTTTCAATATGAGGGAAAAAAATCTTTTCAAACATTTGAAAAATATTATCAAATACCAAATAGCTGATGTTACTACAATAACTTAAATACAGAACTACTGCCTTTACAAACAAATGACTGCAACTCTAAGATCCATCAGAGGCAAAATTGGGTTTGCCAGGGTTTTTGTCCAGCCCAAGCCTCCCAAAATTCTAACCCTGCCTTAGGATGACAAAGGGCCTCTATCAAGTAAGGCCAGAGCAGTGGTCCTGTTGCTCTTCCCCACTTCAAAATTTACTAAAGTAAATTTTGCCCCTTCTAGCTAATTGAAAAAATGATTCTGACAATAAGACAATGTATTTAAAATAGGTAAAGTCCTCACTTCATTTATTAACAAGTATTTGTTGAGAGTCTACTATGTGTCAAGAAAAAGCTGGAGTGTAGAGACAATTAATGCTTGACCCCTTCTTTCAGGAGTTCTCCGTCAAAAGGAGGAGAGAAAGAGAAAGAGAAAATGGAGCCAATACATTAAGCCCAATGATAAAGGTATGTGCAAAACATGGCAGAACAAGACAAACCTCAAAGGGGTGGAGAATGGACTCAGAGAAACTCAAGAGGTGGAAAACTCAGTCCTAAAGAATGAATGAGCAAGACAAATGTCTTTTAGACAAAAATAAAGGCCAAAACATCATGGAGGTGGGGTGAAGGATTATGTGCAGTTCGATGTAGCTGGAAGGCAAAGCAAAGCATAATGAAGAGAGGATAAGAGATGAGCTGCGGAGAGAGATAGGCAGGTTCCAAATGAAAAACAAAAGAGCTGATAGGAAGCTTCAGTGCAGGATGGATAAGACAGTAATTGGAATTAATAATATCCAATTTACCATGTACCAGAACTGCCTCCAAGCTCTTTACGTTTAGTCATTTTAAATCTCACAACAAGACCAGCACAAAGCAAAGGCATAACTTGCTGAGGTCCACTGCCAGTGTGACACAGCAGGGCCAGAGCTAACGCCTGCGACTGACCACTGGGATAAAGCACCTTTGCATTTTGCATAGACCACAGGGTGACAAGGGTGCAGAGAGCAACCAGTCTGCAGCCAGGAGACTGGTGAAAGACTGGGATACAGGAAGAGTGTATATTTGGCCAAGTAGATCACAGAGAGCTGTTCACACCAGTCAAGGACTTTGGCTTTTCTTCCAAAGGCATACGGAACCATAAATAATGACAATTTACTGAACACCTTTGATGTGCCAGGAGCCCAGTAAAGTGTCCTAGGATTCACAATTGGACTTAATCTTCAACACAGACCTGCAAATTAAATGCTAGCCTCCTTAAAGAAACATGGTCTTAAGAGATGACATGAGAAGCCCATGATCCCATTCTCAGAAGAGTCATAACTTGAACCCAGAAATACTGTGAATCACATTCTTCCCTCTCTCATCATGTTCTCCTACAATTATTTGCCAGCATATCTTACCTTCCAGCTGAACTACTGTGAGATCCTCAAGGATAGCCACCCCTAGTCTTATTTTGTAACCTTCATATCAGTGAGTCTGCTGCCTTGCATATAATAAGTACTGTATACTCTAAGTGCATTTGTTGAATGAATGTATGAATAAAACGACAGACAGAAAAAAAGTAATAAAAAGATCCTGACACCAGGGTCTTTTTTGAATAACAGCTTGTTCTAGCTTGTTCCTTTGAACAATGTGCACTGATCTCTGTCTCTCAAAGGCCTTTCAACCATTCTCTACACAACCAAAGCCTTGCTCAAGCTTCACAGCTGCTTGTGGCCTTAGCCTTCTCTCACATTCTGATTCCCCAGTCTGTGCACCATTGCATAATGGGGATAGTGGAAAACAATGAACACAGAGGCAGAAAACATCTCAGATGCAATTCCCTGGGCCCTATAGATGTATCTCAACACCTACTTGACTTCAAGCAAGTCATTACCATGGCTGAACTTCAGTGTCTTCATCTCCAACATGGAGAATGTAGCCACATACTTTAGAAGATCAAATAAAAGTGCATACAAGCACTTTGAAATTTATAAAGCCCTGAATAAATGTCAGAAAATCTTTGTGTGTTATAATTAGTTATGTACACACCTTCTTATTCCCTACCAGAATACAAACTCCTCTAGGGCAGAGCCTTTCTAATTAATCTTTATGCCATGTTTATGCCACAGAGACATAAACATGAAATGTAACCAATACCAAGTCATAAATGAAGGGATGGATGAATGAGTGGATGCTCTCGAAGCAGTGGCAAAGTCCCTACTGGAGTGAGCTCCATGAAGAATGATAAACAATGGGAAATTCATTTCTTCTATGACCTTCATGTAGGAAAGGAAAGCATTGCTTAGATTTTTTTATGAGCCTTCCTCCCCTTCTGCTCCTCCAATGTTCAGATAATATTTTGAGATGCCACTTTCATTATCATCATTGGCAAGAAATGCAGGAAAACACATTACAGTAAATACAAAAGAAGTTTTCCAATATATAATACGTACTCACTGAATTCTTCATGTATTGTTGAATACAGACCTTTTTCCCATGCTCCTAGGGCTACAACTTTGCATTATATTTACCACTGGTTCCAAAATAATGCAAAATTACTTCAAAAATGAGTAACATATATGGCGCGCGCACACACACACACACACACACACACACACACACACACACACACACATATATACAAACACAAGGCTTTGGAAGATCACCAAATCACCCTGTTGTGAGTTCATTTTAACTCAAAGAACCTAAGTTGAATACTTATTTTTTTCTTCTCTATCCAGGCTGAAATACTTAACTGCTGTCCTCAAAGACAGGGTCTCATTCATCTAACAGAGAGTATAATTTTAATAGAAGACAAAGGCTAAAAGGGATTTATTCTTTCAGGATTCTAGAGAGCCACTGAGTTCAAAGTGACGTGAAAATTTACCAATTAAAGTACTTAAGCACTGGAAAAATTTGCTTGTAACTACTGGCATACCCATCTCAAGGACAGTATAAATGTCATCAGACTTATTTCTTATAAACACAGATCTTCAATTTCTTTAAAAAAACAAGGGGTGGGGGCAAAAGGGAGGGCCCCAAAGAACACAAACCCCCTCCCAATCTTGTTCCTCTCCCTCTCTGGCAATAAGAGCACGTACCCATCATCAGCTCCAACATTTATAACTATAAACTGAAACCACATGCCAGTCTTCCAAGCCACTCTGTAATTAAGGAACCTAAATAAATCTTTAGAGAAGTCTTTAGTTAAAAACGGTTGTGACCCATATGCTTCACATTATTTTGTGACCGTGTCAGCATTGTTATTTACCACACAGAGAAATGAATGGTTAATTATAATATAATGACGATAGCGTAAGGGAGTAAACACAGTTTTAGTCCTACCACATTAAGGGCATGGTTTTATCCTCTTCTTCTGTCCTCTAGTTGAGCTCTAAGAATAGGGTCAGCCCGATGTTTAAAGGCCATCTCCCCTTCATTTCCAGATCAGCTACACGGCTGTTCTTTGAGAGCCAAACTTTCCCTAGCACTAAGTATGTTTCCAGACAGCTGTATCTATCACTTTTAGGTTTTAGAAGTTTGGTTTGGGGCTCATCTGTTATTTTCTGTCACGGTGGAATGCTGGGTTGCATGTTCACAATTGTCTAGCTGGTATTTTTGTTCCTCTCCCATCTTATTTCTGTTCAGAGTGTTCGTCAGAGTGGTTCTGCTTTCATGGCCATCAGACACAATGGCAGGGCTTCTTTTCCCAAAGCTCCATGTTCTCTACCCTGCCATTTCCTTCCTAGGTTTGTTTCACCTCAAGTGCAAAGCAGAAAAGATGTCTGTGACACCGAAATACATCCAAAGCTTATGTTCTTTCAAACATGGCCCCATGTTTCAGCCTCTCCAGCTCTTCCCTATAGAGTTGCTTGAGAAATCATTCTCCAAAGACAATCTAATCCATTCTGAGAACTGGTAGTTGGACCTCTCCATTAGCCAAAGTGTTTAACAGAACTAAATTTGTCTCAGGAAACTTACCTGAACTTAGATAACTGTTTCTACCTTCTTATTTCAAGTCATTTTCTTCAAAAGCTCTCAAAATGGTATTATTCCTTTTCATTTAATCTTGAGCCCTAGAGTACTTTCAAATAACACCAGGAAATTCTCCTTTGGAATTCAAACCTCTCAAAATAGCTCAGTCTCAAAATTCCCATCTACAATTGAGATATACAAGTCTCCACTATTTCTTTTCCTTACTAGCTCTGGTTTAGTCCTAAAACTGGGTGTTTCTAAACTAACCCCCAAAAAAGTGTTTTTTAAAAATGCCTAACCTCCATGTGCTTCCCCAATTCTAACTTCACGCTAAGCCCAATCAGGATTGAGGTGGTCCACAAGGACATGGAAGAGAAGGAAAAGGAGAAAGGGAATTATGTATGGTGTGTTTTGCATGGAAACCTTGAGTTTTCTTAAGGAGAGGCACTACGTTGGCCTTCCTTATATCTTTATATCTATAATTGTCTCATATTCTTAATTCAGAAACATTTGCCCAATTGGAAAATATCCCCAAGTTGACATTTTGATATCATTGTCAAGTTAGTGTTATGCCCTTCCACCAGACATTCATCTTATCACATCTTAAGGTAAAACTTTAGGGAAAATAAGTCTTTATAGTTATTTGTACCTTTATCCTGGAAGGCTTCACTGCAGTCTTGTCCTATGCCAGTATAAGCATGGTAATTTAATTTATGTACACATTACAGTTACCCCTGCTAGCCACAACACTGGTAAACATTCCTAAATAGTCCAAGCTTCAGGGCAAGAAAAGGTAGAAAAGCCTTTCAAAATAAATGACAATGGGCAAAGTGTGCACTATGCAGTAAAAAGAAAACAATGTGAAAACAAACATAACAGATGGGACTGGGAGGAGATGGATGGTAAATATACCTAAATGGTTGGAAGGTTTCTACATTTCACATAAAGTGGGACAATGTTAACTCTATATGGATTCTAAAAAGTTAAGGTATATTATAATCCCTAGGACAACCCATGAAGAACTATAGCCAAAATAACTAAAAAGTAAATGGAATTATACGAATAAAAAATTCAAATAATCCAAAAGAAGCCAAGAATAGGGAAACAAAAAACAAAGAAAAAAAAGAGGGAAGAAACAGAAATAAATAATTGAATGACAAATTAAATCCAACCATGTCGAATATTACATTAAATGTCAGTGGACAAAATACTGCAATTAAAAGGCAGAGAATGTAAGAATGAATATAAAAACAAGAGTCAACTATATGTGCCTACAGGAATGACATTTAAAATATAAAATCATAGATAGGTTGAAAGGAAATAAAATAGAAAAAGACATACCATACAACAACAACTTATTTTTTTTAAGGCACTGCACTTTTATTTTTATACATCTAATCTCAAAGAAGTCCCTAGTTGCCATCCCAATATAACAAAGATGCTATGCCATAGCATGACAGATGGCAGAATGCAGGTGAAAATTATCTTAGAAAATGAGCTACAATCATTTTTTTTCCAAGACTGTTTTATCAACATGTAATTTTCTAATTTCATTTACATTCTTATATCCTAAACATAAGTGGCCATGTTGCTTTCCTTTGGCTACATAACCGGAAAAGGATTGTTTTTACTGGCTACAAAACAAAAATAATATCATCAAGATAAGTCATTTGAAGATGACATCTGTTTTAGAATGACAACAGTAAACCATCAAATAAAGCTTGAAAGTCAGGCTTTAAAATAAGATATGATGAATATGCATTTTAGTTTCTTCTTCCTTTAGAATCATACTTGTTTTCAAAACACAGATCTCACAATATTTTTGTGAAATTTCATAGATTACTTAGGTCAGCCTCAACATATACCACGTTTCACATTTTTTAAAATGGGTCACTCAAAAATATACTTTAATCCTGGCAGTCAAATGTAACCACTAAGGAAGAAAATCATACTATCTGAATGTTATGTGTATATAAAATGGTTCACATGTGTTACGATGTTTTAAAAACTAGAAATCCCTGTGTAAGACACCTTCAAAACAGAGCAACTCCATCTTGAATAGGGACTGGGTAAAATAAAGCTGGGACCTATTGGGCTGCATTCCCAAGAGGTCAGGCATTCTTAGTCACTGGATGAGATAAGAGGTCAGCACAAGATACAAGTCATAAAGACCCTGCTGATAAAATAGTATGTGGTTAAAAAAAAGCCAGCCAAAACTCACCAAAACCAAGATGGCAATGAAAGAGACCTCTGGTCCTCCTTACTGCTCATTACACACTAATTATAATGCATTAGCATGCTAAAAGCTACTCCCACCAGCACCATGACAATCTACAAATGCTATGGCAACATCTGGAAGTTACCCTACATGGCCTAAAAAGGGGAGGAACCCTCAGTTCCAGGACTTGCCCACCCCTTTCCTGGAAAACTCAAGAATAATCCACCCCTTGTTTAGCACATGATCAAGAAATAACCACGAAAAAAGCTAACCAGCAGCCCTTGGGGCTTCTCTGTCTATAGAGTAGCCATTCTTTTGTTCCTCTGATTCTCTAATAAACTTGTTTGTCACTTTACTCTGTGGTCTCACCCCAAATTCTTTCTTGCACAAGATCCAAGAACCCTCTCTCTTGGGGTCTGGATTGGGACCCCTTTCCTGTAACACCCACATAATTGGACAAGAAACTCTCCTACTTCAGCATTAGAATAAATAAGCAAAGCTCATTATTTCAGGAGTTCACATCCTAGTTACAGAAAATAATCTAAAACACAAGGGGTAGTTTTCTTTCAAGATTTTAGAACTCTTATTTGTAATCCTTGTGACAAAGAAGCTTAGGGACACCCCAAAATTTTTTCTAGCCTGGAGGCCTGACCATTATCAAATCATAATGGACATCCTCAAGTCTGCCCCGCCCAGGACCAGCTTGCTAAGAGTTACTCAACAAAATAAGCACCTTTCCTTCTATTGGACTGGTAAGAATGTGAACTGGGCCAAAGAGTGACTCTTTTTCAAAGGTGGATTGCAGAAGCCAGGTATTGGAGACACACATTAGGAAGCAGATAAGGGATTTAGAGAGACTAAATTATCCCAGGAAGGAAAAGGACTGAACTTAAGATATAAAAGCAGAGAGAAGGAAACATCTGTCTTGAGGGCCTGGAAGCCGCTCTTTGGAATTTAGTAGCAATCCCTTGTGCTGCTGAGGACTTCCTTCTGAAACTTGCTTCAAAGAAAACAGTACCTAGAAATGCCCTAGGCATGAAACCACCACAGGGGGGAAAGTTCCCCATAGCGGAGCATCCTGTTGGGGTTTGGCAAGAGGTCAAAAGCAAAAAGGCTAATTCTACTTCTTTATCTGCCCTTGCTACTGCAGGCTGTTATCTCACAAATTAATGAAGCATGAATGGCTTCCACTGCCTTGATTTAATCCCTTAATAACTGAAATGGAAGAGTATGTGGAAGCAGGGGTGAGGTCATCCAGAAGAGCAGGGCTCCCAAAGGATTTCATGGATACTCATGAGGTAAGAGGCGTTGTACTCACTGTGAGGGCTCTGAGGATGATGATTAAGAGAATCTGTCATCTAGAAGCTTAAAATCTAACAAGAAAGACATCTAAGTTCCCCCATAAAAAGGGGGTAGGAGAAGGTAATAAACATATCTGTAAACTCCTAAAGATATTCAGAAAAGGAAAAGATGACTTTTACTGAGAGACGCATGTCATGGAAAGCTGCAAAATCTGAACCCCAACGCATATGCAAGGAAAGAGGCTGGGAGGAAGCAGACAGCAGGGAGGAAATTATGCTATTTCCCCTGTCCAGAAATTAACCAAACACATTGATTTGGAGAAAAGAACAAATATGCAATTGGGGATCTTAATTCAAATTCAATAAGCTCTTAAAGCATTTTTACTATCTCTTTTAACAAAAGAATTCTAACAATCACCTTTTAATACCCAACTCTTTTTAAAAGAATTACACAGCTATGGTCTACAAGAATAGACTTTCTGGCTCACTTTAAACAAATTCCCAACACAAATGTTTCCAAACTTTTTGGCAAAAATGGCTTATTTCAATTAATTTCATGATCGATTTTTATGACTTTGTTACAGGCAAATAAATCATGGAAACACCTATCCCAAGAGAAGTTACTCTACAGACCTTGCTAATCACCTTTACAACTTAATGCTAAATTTAATGTTGCACTTATTAAAAAGAATGGTTTCTGCTGATTTTTTACAGACAGATGTTCCCTACTGATTTAAAGCCTTAAAAAGCAGCACCTCATATGCCACTTTTTCTTTAACTTAGAAACACATTCTGATCTAAAGTACGTCATATCCACATCCCAAACAGTTAGACTGCTTGGTTAAGTGAAGCTTTCATGTTTACAAGAGTCAAATGTAAAACACTCTCCTCTAACTCTGACAGCCCCCAGTGCCCCATCTGCCCTAGAAAGCACTGTGCTGGGGACCTGAATAGCACCATATACTGTGGAAGTGCAGAGATCTGGCTCAGGTTATCACAGAAGGCAATAGGCAGAGATGCCATTTGAACTGGAACCCCAAGTACATACTGTCTGATTTTTTTTTTTAATGCATAAAGGAGAGAAAATGGGCAGCGGTAAAAGGCTATCAACTTCTTCAAGCTTTGGTTTGTGCTTGAAGCCTCACAGGGCTGTGCAGAGGATGTCTATAAAGTACCCTTGGTCTGAAATGCAGCAGGTGCTCAATACAAGACTAAAAGGTATGTGGGGGCCGAATCTGTGGGTGTGCCTTACAGAATCAAGGTCATCAATCTATTCATGTTTAGGAAAACCAAATCTGTAGCCATTTCATGGAGTGGCTGCAAAATTCAATTAAATCTACCAATATTAATGAGATGCCTGAATATAGACAGATACTTGCACATACATACACACAGACCACTGTGTATATACCATGAAATGTCTGAGCTTGCATATATTATTGTGCAGAAAGAAAAGTGAATTGGCAAAATAATAAAAATAAGAATAATAAGAGTCTTCCTTGTTAATAGCTAAATTCATATCATGATACTGTAAAGAAGGAAGCATTCTGGGAATAATTTTAAGATAATTCAGTACTCCTTAATTCAATAAACATTTTATGTGTCAGGAGAGTGTCAGGCAGAGGCATACAAAGGATACTGTCCCTACCCTCAGGAGCTCAGTTTACAGAAATCATGTACTATCTAACTAGAAAATAATTTAGTGATGTGAGGACAAGTCATCTGGTCCGTGTTGCCTGTTGAAAACAACAACAAAACCTTTCCCCAAAGCATGAGAGGAATACTAAGACCAGAAAAAAGTTTTTGTGATTAAAATTTTGCTTTTCTTCTTTCATCCAGCCACCCAATACCTTCCAAAGTCACCCTTTCCTTACCATCACCAGCTTGCCATTGTCTTAGAGGAGTCTCTCATTTTTGGCTTTCAGGAACCTCTTAATGGGGATTTCTATATCTAAGCAAGACATTTTCACAAGCCATCTTGATACAATGCTGTCAAAAAATGTAGTTTTTTTCATTACCATGACTCCTTCTCCATTCCTAATCTTGTCCCCCTTGTAGCCAGATTTAACTTCATACATTTAAACATTTCTGTAAGAAATTTGTTAGAACTCAAAGCAAAATTGTATCAGTTCTGTCCCCCAAAACTATGGTTCAAAGGAGTACTCTGATTATAAGTATAATGCATTTATTTTGCTTAGGCACCAGAGAGATAGATGTCTTAGCAGCAGTTCCAAGGATTTTGGGGGCAGTCTTGACTGACATGATCCTAATGTGGTCCGGAGGCTCAACATCCTGCCATACCCAGGGTTTATGATGTACCTATTCAAACAAGGTTTGCAAATTTGTAACAGAGATAAAATGTGGAAACCCTTCCTCTAGACTTTCAAATAGAAAACAAGTAAGTTCCATCATGACTTAGCCAAATCCATGTCTTAATTTTAAAAAGAAAATCAGTGACTCAAAAGGACATCAGAGGACGATGATTCAGACCATGGAGAGAGAAGCCCCGTCAGAGACTGAGCAGGCTCCAGGCCTAGAGTGACTGACAGCTTTCTCTGAGAGGACTGTGTATGGTCAACATAGTAGGGCTTATGTGAGTGTGTCTTCCAGATGGTTTCCACTCCCATTCCCTCCCTTACCCCTGTCCTGGTTGCCACTCTAAGTAAAGGGTTTCAACAATAAGGAAGCTCAAGATGCCAAGTCTGTTCTGCACATTATTTGAGATTGCTTATGTTTATGGTGTTTTCAGTGCTAAAGTGTCTGCATAACAAAATGACTTCAAAGTAGTCACACAAGAATGGGTAAAGCAAAAATATCATATACCACTCGGCCTGCAGGCTCTCTTCCCTGCAGCCCTCCTCTTCCTTACTGGAGTTAGCCTAAAATGCAAAGAGGCCACTCCCTCCCTCATCAGTTTACAAGCTTGCTATGCTCTCCACCAATCCAGTCAGAGCCTGGCCCTGGACTTTAGGCAGGGAGTGACTAAACAGCCATGCTTTAAGCTATGTGACTGCTAGAGGAAGATTTAACATTGGTACACAGAAAGTGCCCTGACACAAAGGGTTTCAAACAACTCTTGCATGCTTCCATCACACAGACAGTGCTGCTTCAGAACACATCCAAATGCACAGCACTCAAATACTGCTTCAAGTGTTTTAAGTCATGTCAATACATCTCAGAAGTGGCTACAAGAAAATGACTATGTTGAAATATCACACACAGATTACATATATATTTTTTGAGAGAAGCAAACACTTGGATCTGCAAGCAGGAAGTTGGTATTTATTACTACGTATCTGCAGGGGCTTAAAGTTATCTGATAAAAGACTAGAGACAATCCTCCCAGAACAGCTGGGTAGAAGCGAGAGACCTTGGATCGGAACAGAGACTGCTTCAGGGTAATCTGGAGACAGGCATCAGGTCCTTGGGAGCTCTACATAGTACACATATTTTTATTACAAAATATAAGCTTGATACAAGCTTGTACCTTCAATATGAAAGCTCCATTTCTATATACTCAGACTGATTTCTGGTTACCCAGAGAGGTCAAAACCAAGCAAGATACACTCATACAGAATCAAATCCTAAAAGCTTGATTTCTCACTGATGTGCTACAGATTACAAAGCAAGCAAGGCCCTCCTCTAGAGCTGGCCCTGCTGTTTTTCCTGGCTCATTTCCCTGGAACTCCCTGCCTCTCAGCTCGCTCTAGGAGTCCCTTGCCTGTACACCTATAAAATCCTATTTCTACATCTATTACAGCCTTGTAATATGGTGTGTAATATGTTGTGTTTTAAGTTTGGGAGACTTTTTTTGTTTACAGTTTCTTTTGAGAGTGGGAATTAAGACTCACCATCTAGTGCCTAGCACAGTGCAACACATGGTATATGCTCAGAAAAAAACTGGTGTAATTAATCCTAACATCACCTTTTCTCATATTCATGCAAAAAAAGAAATAAAATTAATGTATGGCATTTTCAAAGTCTATGTTTGCTTGCCAACTATTTACAAATAACAAAGAGGAAATGAAATAAAATGTTATTTCAGTAGACATATATAAGTGCACATTCATATGCTTACAAAGAGCTCTGTGGGTTTAAAATACTCGAAGAATTAAGTTAAAGAGGAGTGAGGCTCTATTTTATACTCTAGTTAAAATTTTTCATTTGGGTTATTTGGATTCAGCAATTCTCTCTAATGCTGGTCTGTATAAATTCAATGTGAAGACACAGGCAAACAGTCACCTAAAATCTCCTTTTAAAAGTCAAAATGTGGGGTGGAGGGAAGGGGGAGGGACAGCATTAGGAGATATACCTAACGCTAAATGACAAGTTAATGGGTGGAGCACATCAACATAGTGCATGTATACATATGTAACAAACCTGCACGTTGTGCACATGTACCCTACAACTTAAGGTATAATAATAATAAAATTTAAAAAAGTGTGATTACATTTGCACTAGTAACATTGCAGGCCCTTGCTAGTTCTTGAACTAAGGAGCAAAGGCAATTACAGCCTTCTTCAGAGCTGGCTAATGAGAATATGCTGCTCCTATCCCTCCTACCTTGCTTACAGTCTCCAGCTGATATGCCCTTTCGTCTCCAAAAACTGTTGGTCAGTTCTCTAGGTCCCCTTTGAACAAGTATCACTTTTATCCTCATTTCCTTCTTGAGTTCTATAGCGGATGTATCCAGTGCCTACAATCTGCCAACAACTGTGCCCAGCATTGGACAGGATGCAAAAATAAAAACGACGCTGCACCTGCTCTCCAGATACTCAAGTCCAAGGCTCTCCCTCCATCATGGCTTGCTAAAGCTACCAAGAGCTACCTATCACAGTCCCCTTCGGCCTCCGCAAATCAAATACGTCCTCCTCCAAAGAAGGATTACTTTCAGTGTTCCGAATTTATGTTGAGAACAAGTTTTCTGCACCAACAAAATCACCGAAACCTGCAGAGGTGCGGCACTCAAAATTTTCCTGGATCAATGAATACATCTTCAAAGACTCCACACGTTAAATCTTCCTAAATTAAATTGCTAGAAGACTGCCTAGAAAAGCTACAGTGACAACCCTCTGCTCACCTCCATGCCATTCTTGCCACTGAAATCTGACATGCTGTCACATCCAATCAACTCAGTGACAAGTCCTAGGATGATGCCAGAGGACCCTCACTGGAGCTTTCTATATGCCAATGGTAGGCTTGCTGACAGAGAAGAAAATCTACAGAGATTTGGAATGAAGGCACATGTCTCCAAAGATTTTAGTGCTAAACACCTGCTAAAGGAAGACATCCCTAAAATTTTTATAAATTGTCAAATAGGAAATGCCAATTTCTAAAACTATTCTAGACTAGTAGTTCTAGCTTTATTGCTTAAAGGTTAAAACACACACATACACACACACACACTCACTCACATATGACTGTTCTCTTCAAATATGTGTACTTCAAATACCTACTGATTGAGAAAACAGCAATCCCTACAATAACTCCCGAGGCCCAAAGACTGGGAATCATTATCATAAATCAGTTCCAGTCTGGAGAACTTTCTATTTATCATATGACTTATGGCCCCTAATCTCTGTAGAAATCTCTGTAGAGATGAGGGGCCATCTATTCAAACAAGTCTAGGTTTGCTTCCTAAATTTTCATAAAATGAAGGCAGACCAATCTATTAATGAATTTTAAAATTAAGGATCTTTTATTGGCAGTGGAAATTGTGTACTCTAAGCCCTTACCAGAGAATAAAACCTCCAATTATCTGAAGACCACCTTTAATTCAAAGCCCATTTATGAGAAAACAGAAAACAAATAAATGAACACAAAAAACTTTCACAGAACTACAAGGCACCTGAAGGAAATATGCAATCTATCTGTTCCTTGTACTCTTTAATTGAGTCAAACCATCAATAAGCTCAGCACTTGTACCTATGGTTCTCATCCCTAGATGTATACTAGGCACCTACGGAGCCGAAACCTTGTTCCCCTTCCCCAACCCTATAGATTCTAAGGGAATTCTGCACTGGTTCTAACAGACAGCCAAGGGTGACAGCCACTTACTTATACCTCTTATAGATTTGCTTTTCCTAAATCTAAATCCTTATAGATTCGCTTTTCCTAAACTGTGCTTTGGTGTTATGTCCGCTGCTTCCACTTAGTAACATGAGAATTAGCTATCTAAAATGCATTACTAAGTTTTGGGAGGTGTTGTCATGATGACACCCTTCACATAGTCAGTCTCACAGGAGAAATCTCTTTGAAATCTAATTGGCAAAGAAAACTTTGCTTCTTTTGAGCAATGCACTTTGGTCTTATATGCAAAAATAATGTAACTGATCACATTTCCCTTTTTTGCTTTGACTACCAGGAAATGAAAAGTTCAAGTTCAGTAAGCTTAGAAGATGTCATGGTATTAACTTTCACTGGGGTCTCATCTATTTTCTATGTTTCCTTTGCTCTGAGTTTTAGAAAGCTATTTATTTTATTACATTGACTATAAAATACTAAGCTGCCTTTGGTCAGCTTACTGTGCAGCTTACTATTTTGAATAGTAGGGAAGATAATTTTGAAAGTGGGGAATATAACAATTAATTCACATTGATCTTCACATGTATCTGAACCATAAAAACTAAAAAAGGCAATTGGTATGACTAAAATATATGCACACAAGAAGAGCTTTGCTTTTAGGGAGGAGGGGAAGATGGATGGGAAGATGGATGGGTGGATGGATGGATGGATGGATGGATGGATGGATGGACGGACGGACGGTGGGAGGATAAGGGGTGGGGGTGTGGATGAATCTGCCTCACAATATACAAACCACCCTTATAAGAAGAGCTAAAAATTTGCCCAGATAATTTTTGTTCATTCACTTACACCTGTAACATTTGCAACTCTTACCAAATCTAGAAAAATCTTCAGTATGCAAACAGACACACACAGGTTCAGCAGAATAAAAAATCTACAATTTAAAAATATAGCACCACTGAGTCAAGAGAAGCTTTGAAAGCCTATTGCCCTGACTCATATTATGGAAATAGGAACTCTTAATGCATTACGCAATAACCTGAAACTTCCCCATCTCACCTGCGAAAACCCAATATTCTTCTCCTTTCTTAACAAAAATATTCTTCTGTAATCTTTTCTAAAATTTTCATATTTCTTCACCTTCTATCTTTGACTATAGTCATATGTGGAAAACGAACTTAATTAAAGTTGTCCTTAAACACAACTTTAAGTTCTTGAATATAGGGGAAACTGACTTTTATGTATTCATCACCCATCTGGGAAGAGTTGAATCCAAAAACATTAACATTGCATTGGCTTAAGTTTCAAAGCTGGTTAGAACCATTTTACTGAAATTCCCAATGGATGAATATGTGAATGAATATAGAAGAGACCAACATCTAATTTTCTAATAATTCCAACAGACATATTGGTTCCAAGAAAATCAGTAATATGAGAATTGGAACAAAGATGGATCTACTCCAATAAATTACCAATGCACTAAAACATCTTCAAATAATCACCAATAATCACATATCAACTATTTCTGTAAGCAATAGCAACCAACTATAACACTATTAGAAAAGTCTTTATTGATAATAAACCAAAAAGCTACTGAAGTCTGTTGAACAATAGTGTGAAAGAAAAAAAGTAACAACAGAAACATGAAAAATGGATGAACAGTTTTACTTCTGTAGAAATGCATTCAAATAAAATTAAACTGGAAATGTGGAAATTCACCATGATTACAATTATTATTTTTTAAAAAATTGAAAATATGTTAAGAGGTCTTTCATTCTAAATTATACTACTGAACTCATGTTTAAATTCACACAGAAGCTTGCTTTACATGGTATCCACAAGTTAAATTACCAAACAGCCAACAACCTTACTGAAATAATCCTAGCAGACAAGAGACCATGTGATAAATTAACTAAATCCCATTCCATTCTCCCTTCCCGGGCACAAGAGGAGACTGTATTTCCCAGCTTCCTTCGCAGTTAGGCTGGGCCCATGTGACTATGCACTGGCCAATGAAGATCTTATCATGCTCTCTCTTCACCTTCCACAGCAATCTTAAAAGCCATGTGGGCCTGGCACAGTGGATCACATCTGTAATCTCAGCACTTTGGGAGGCTGAGGCTGGTGTATCACCTGAGGTCAGGAGTTCAAGACCAGCCTGACCAAAATGGTGAAACCCCGTCACTACTAAAAATACAAAAAATTGCTGGGCGCAGTGGCTCACGCCTGTAATCCCAGCACTTTGGGGGGCCGAGGCGGGTGGATCACGAGGTCAGGAGATCGAGACCATCCTGGCTAACACGGTGAAAGCCCGTCTCTACTAAAAATACAAAAAATTAGCTGGGTGTGGTGGCGGGCGCCTGTAGTCCCAGCTACTCAGGAGGCTGAGGCAGGAGAATGGTGTGAACCCGGGAGGCGGAGCTTGCAGTGAGCCGAGATCGTGCCACTGCACTCCAGCCTGGGCGACAGAGCTAGACTCCATCTCAAAAAACAAAAACGAAGACAAAAAATTAGCCAGGCGTGGTGGCGGACACCTGTAATCTCAGCTACTCAGGAGGCTAAGGCAGGAGAATTCCTGGAACCCGGGAGGCAGACGTTGCAGTGAGCTGAGGTCGCACCACTGCACTCCAGCCTGGGCAACAAGAGTGAAACTCCGTCTCAAAAAAAAAAAAAAAAAAAAAAAAAAAAAAAAAAAGCCATGTGTGCCAGATATTATAACTACAATATAGAAGCAGCTTGGATATCTGAGTAACCATTTTTAGGAGAGCCTCTGAGAAAACCCAACAGACCCCCATCAAATTGTGTTTCATGAGAAACAAACCTTTGTTGTGTTATGCCTTGAGCTAGGAAGGCCTGCCACTCAAAAATAACCTACCTTATTCTGACTAATCGTTCCTTATACCCCCTTACAAGGTCTCAAACACACTCAGACTATAAACTCAAGTTTCATTTCCAATAGGTGGGAATTTTGTCAGTAAGCAGCACAGAATAGCTGAAGGCTAAAAATAAATATTTCCTGAATACTTACTATGAACCTAATGCCAGGTCTCCAAAGTGAGGTGTGGGCATCCCAGGGCATGCCCAAGATGAGCCACTGGAGTACAAATATAAACATCAGAACTTCTATTTATATTTCTGTATTCATCACTTTTTAAAAATTCCCAGTCTTGTGTATGTTTTATAACACACACAATACATTGGATGGTGTTACCTGACAAGTTAACTATAAATAACCAAACACAGGCAGATTTTAAGACCACTGATCTTGAAGCAACAAAGTATCCATGTATAGTCCCTCTTCCAAAGATGCTTACTATTGTAGAAGTCTAATACTTAAATAGGAAACAATCAATGAGATACATAAGATAAATAAAAGTCATATGATTAATAAAAATCATATATAAATAAAAGGTCATGGTTGTGACAGAATGCACAATATGGACCATATGTGTTTGGACCACCAAGTGGCCTTTAGAGAAGAGGCTTCAGAATGGAGGTGGTTTCCCATATACCGCAAAAGATGAGCAGGATTTGAATATGTGGAGTGAGTAAAACAGAATATAGACCAGAGTGTCTGTGAAAGAGGAGAAATGAAGCAAACAGTGGGATTTCAGAAACAGTAGGCCACAAGAGGCCAAGTGAAAAAAAATGTATAACTGATCACTAGCTACAAATTTATCGAACTCAATTTCTCTATTTTCACAGCCAGAATTTTTAATTAGCGCTGGCTTTAATTTTAAGAGTCCTATTAAAGATCAATGCAATATATTTGTAAACATCAAAGAAAGTTAAAGTCTCTAAATATAGAAAAGGACAAAGATTTTCAAAATTTAAAATGCATCTATGCTACCTAAGCTATGCCTGTAAGACAAAGTATGACATTAACAATCAATCATAGATATAATATTCTTATAATAAAAGTTATGTTAAGTTACGGAAAGGAGGCAAATGTTCAAAGTGTTATATATCATTTTCTACTTGTTTTAGGAACAATGACCAACACCCATGCACATGTTTCCACACTTCCTCCTTCCCTATACCCACATTCCAGGTAATGAGTAACCAGATAGCCATGACTCACTCTATCATGTAATCTTAAATAGCTACATGTGTTCATTTTATAATTTATGCCTTTAACATCTTTATACTTCAGTAACACTTTTCTTTAATACATTTCCCTGACCTTAGATGAGAGTCTGCCATTTTGAATGTCCCTTTTTTAATCCATAATGCTATTCACATGAGAAAAATATGCATAAGCTTCTGCTATTAATAACGGCCAAACCAATTATAAATATAGATAGAAGCAGCAGCAACACTGCATGGCCAAACGTGAGGTAGGGTGTATGAGTGTGAAAATATGTCTTTCGAAGGCAAAGCAACGGCTTAAAAACTAGCAATTCCTAAAGAAACATCCAAGGGCCCTTAGTGACCCATCCTTCATGAAAATATAGAGGATAAAAGTAAAAATGAAACCCTCCGGTCTTAAGCCAGTAACCTAAGACCTTCCGCAGGTAACCTATGATTATGCCTGCATGTGTTTTCCCAAGGTAGAGGTCTGTGGTGCAAAACCATCCAAATCATCTCTCCCTCCAGGTGCTAAAACAGCCTAAGTTTTGGCTGTTGATGTGGACTGATGGAAAAAGATTAGTAGAAAATGTATATACTCTAACTTATTCCTCTCTTGTTAAATTTATGTGAAAGCAGGCTAAGTCATCTATAAGGCTTAGGAAGTTCCTACTGTAACTGAGGATACAAGGATATTCTTTTTGGATCTCAAGCTGATCACCTATGCATCCAATGAACACTAATATACTAAGGGGGTGGCTTCAAAGGGTTTCGTAAGAGTTAATAAAGGTTAAAATCAGTATTCTTCATATCAAATGTTGCCCCTTCCTAAATTACATTGTGACTCATCACCAATAGCAACTAGAAATTCTGTTGTAAAACAAATGAATTAACATCTGTTTACACTTATATCATTTCAACATTAAATCATTCACCACTCATTCATTAAAAAATTGCATTTACACACATATACACTTAGGCATATTTAACAAGTCTGAAAATTTTTTCCAGTTCATGACTGAAATGCAAGATGGCAATTTTTCCAGACACATAGCTTGCAATTTTAAGTAATTTCCTTATCCCAAACTCTCCTCCTATTACTTTGGAATAACCTTCATAATCCTTCAGTCTTCCCAATGATTCAAGCAGATTGGTATTGGAATGTTTTATTAAAATTGAAAAATAGCTCTACATTCTCAACTCTAATACCGTTTCCCTTTCCTAACATTCAGGGTCATTATGCCATAGCCAAAACTGGTCTTTTGTCTTATCTTCTATAAACTACAAAAGCCACCTACTTCAAGAATTCCTTCTTCAGGTCGGGCGTGGTGGCTCATGCCTGTAATCCCAGCACTTCGGGAGGCCGAGGCAGGCAGATCATTTGATGTCAGGAGTTCGAGACCAGCCTGGTCAACATGGTGAAACCCCATCTCTACTAAAAATACAAAAATTAGCCAGGCGTGGTGGCACATGCCCGTAATCCCAGCTACTCAGGTGGCTGAGGCACAAGAATCACTTGAACCCAGGAGGTGGAGGCTGCAGCAAGCCAAGATTGCGCCACTGCACTCCAGACTTGGTGAGAGTGTAAGATTCTGTCTTAAAAAAAAAAATTCTTCTTCAAGACTCAACACAAGTGGCATCTTCAGAATTTCTGAACCCACCAATTTTTCTGCACTTCCAACTTGTTCCTTGTAAGTATACTGTTACATTAAAATGCAGCTTATGTAGCTACCCCCAACCCACAACTAGAATGGACAATCCTTAAAGACAAAACCATGTCTTCTACAGTTTCTAACCAACAGCAGCTCTCCCACTCCCCACCAATCTATTCATTCATTCACTCACTCCACCAATATTTATGGAGTGGCTGCTCTGCGCCAGGCATTGTTCTAATTACTATGGATACAGGGATGGTAAAATAAAGCGCAAGTGCTCATGGAGATGACATTCTAATGCAAAAGACAATAAAGTAACAAAAAATGAGCCCATGGCAAGATGTCAGGTAAGCACAAATGCTCTGAAGAAAAATAAAGTAGCCTAAGAGAATAACAGGTGATTGGGGAAGGACTTGGCTATTTCAGGGATTGCTATTCCTGATTGCAGTAAGAGAACAAGTCAGCCCCTCTATGGTACAAGAGTGATGCTGACAGTGGCATGTTCAAGAAGCAGCAAGGAGGACAGCGTGGCTGGGGAAGAGAGGGTGAGAAGTAACAAATGCAGTCAGGGAGGTGGCCAGAGCCCAGATCAAGTGGAGCCATGCAGGCCACAAGGGAGTTGCTGCAGGTTTTGTGAGCAGCAAAGAAAAACAATCTGATGGAGATCTTTAAAAAAGATCACTCTAGGCAGTGGCCATAACATTCATGAAGATAAGAAAGTTGGCGGTTGAGGGGAGGCAGGCGGAGGCAACAGGAGAGTTGAAGCAGGGACACAGTGAGGAGGCCACCAACATAATCCAAGCAAAGGAGGGTAGTGGCCTGGCACACGCACAAGTGGCTATGGACGTGGTTAGGATGATCAGGCTGATGATGGACTGAGTGTGCAATAGGAGAAAAGGAAAAAAACAGTTTTGCATCGAGTAACCAAAGGATGATGCTGCCACTGACCAAGGTGAGAAAGAGAAGAGGGAGTGGGGCAATCCTAAGTCTGGTTTGAAGCGTGCTAAGGTGTGAGATGCCCCTTATCCAAAGAGATGCTGCAGAGCTCAACATAGCTGGATCGCCTGCAGGTCAGGCGAGAAATCCAGCTGAAGATCTAAATCCGGGAGGCATCATCAGCACACAGAGGGTATTTGAAGCCCACGTAGGCTCATCTAAATAATGCCTACAGAGGAAAAAAGCAAAGGTCCCAGAGTGGAGCCCCTGGACTTGCCACGGGAATGCGGAGGCTGGATATGGAGCAGCCAGCAAGGCGGGGGAAAGACAGGAAAATGTGGAGGCCAGAAAGCCAAATTTTAAAAGGGTTCCAGGAAGGAGCTGGTCATGTTGTCAAATGTTGCTGATAAAGGAAGAAGAGGATTCAAAACTGACCATGGGATTTGATAACATGGAGGTCACAAATGATCTTGAAAAGAAGTTTTAGTGGAGTGGGAGATGAAAGCCCAATTAGAGTGATTTACAAAAGAAAAAGAGATGAACTAGAGACAATAAGCATACCCAACTTTTCAAACAGTTTGGTAATAAAGGAAACAAATGGCATGGTAGCTAGGAGATGTGAAATCAAGAGAAACATTGCAGCATGTTATGTTGGTGGGAATGGAAGAAGAAAGAAAAAAGATAAGGCAGTAGACAGGGGAAATGACTTGGAGGGGTTGAATGGGATCCTGGGCACACAACACTCAAATGTTTATTGAGTTGAACTGTTGCTACCCTTAAACATGTCTTGGAAAAAGGTGGCCTACTAATTCAGCTTTCTAAAATTGTATACAGAAACTCCAACAATAACCTGGCTTCAGGAAGCCAGGATTCGAGTATTTCAGGACAAGCTTTCTATGGCTTCTTAAGAACAATGTATAATACACATGTCCACATCTGTGGTATAAAAACAAATGTATCTGGTCTTTGTCTCAGGTTCCTGACACAGGGCTCCTAAAGCCTTTGGAATTTCCTGGGTAACAGGAGTATCTTGTATTATTCATAACAAGTCCCTTTCGCCCATACCTGAGGTTATGCAAATGAGGGGACTCAGGTGGGGCCCCTCAGTAGCATCAGGATAGGGATGTTTACCAGAAAGACCAAGCCTGTGATTAGAGTGGGGGGGAATCTTTCAACCCCACCTCCCCACCTCCAGGGAGGGGAGGGGAGCTGGAGATTGGGTTACAAAAATTTGAACACAATTCTGTTTTTTTGGGGAGATGGAGGGATCTAGGTTGGTGAACAGACTGACATGCTGGGAAGGTGGTATTCCCAGAGTGCACAGAGGCTCTGCATACACACCCCCACCGTGCCCTCTGCAGCTCTTCCACTGGACTGTTCCTGTGTTGTATCCTTTATAATAAACCAGTAAATGTTAAAAAACGTATCATCCTGAGTTCTGTGAGTTGTTCTAGCAAATTATTGAACCTGAGGATCATGGAAACCCCCAAACGTGTGGGGTTGACTAAGCAGAAGTGTGAGTAGTCAGGGTACCCCATTCATGGCTGGTGTCTGAAGTGGGGCACTCTTGTAGGACTAAGCCTTTGACCTGTGTGGTCTGTGCTAACTGTGTAGTTAGTGTCAGAACTGAGTTTGTCGGAGGTGTTCGAACCAGAGCAACTCCATCTTGAATAGGGGCGCGATAAAATAAGGCTGAGATCTACTGGGCTGCATTCCTAGAAGGTTAGGCATTCTTAGTCACAGGGTGAGAGAGAAGGTCAGCCCAAGATACAGGTTATAAAGACCTTGCTGATAAAACAGGTTGCGGTAAAGAAGCTGGCTAAAACACACCAAAACCAAGATGGCGAGGAAGCTGCCCTCTGGTCACCCTCACTGCTCATTATACACTAATTATAATGCTTTAGCATGCTAGAAGACACTACCAGCAGCGCCAGGACAGTTTACAAATGCCATGGCAATGTTGGGAAGTTACTCTACGTGGTCTAAAAAAAAAAACAGAAGGAACCCTCAGTTCCAGGAATTGCCCATCCCTTTCCCGGAAAACACATGAAAAATCCACACCTTGTTTAGCATATAATCAAGAAATAACCATAAAAATGGGCAACCAGCAGCCCTCAGGGCTGCTCTGTTCATGGGATGAAATGACCATTCTTTATTCCTTTACTTTCTTAATAAACTTGCTTTCACTTTACTCTGTGGATTCACCTCGAATTATTTCTTGCACAAGATCCAAGAACTCTCTCTTGGGGGACCCCTTTCCAGTAAACAAACTGAACTGTTGGACACCCAGTTAGTGTCAGATAACTGGTTGGTGCTGGGGGAAAAATGTCACACACCTGGTATCAGAAATGATGTTAGAAACATACAATTATCTGCTGTCAATTACCTGGAGCCATGCTTTTCTAGGTACCCACTACTGCTTCCCAAGACTATCTCCAGGCTATTGCAATTCCAGGGGTTGCCTGGGACTCTGAACCTCTCCATCCCAGCCAGGAATTGTGACTGGGCTCTGATCCCCCTTTCTCCCTCTGATCCCCCTTTCTCCCTCTCTCTTCACCTTTTCTGTTCAGCCACTGCATCCTATGGATTTGCCTCTAAAGTGTCCCTCCCATCCTCAGATGAGCCTTCTGTCCTTGTCCCTTACTGCAAAAGCCTACCACGTCCCTAAACCTAAACCTCTCGTTGAGTTTCTCTTTTTCTGTACACCCACAGCAGTTCAAATCCCAAGGCTCATATTCTCTCTCCTCCTACCTGCTTAAAAATCCTTAGCACAAAAGTTCTTTGTGACCTGGGTCTGCTCTTCCTCTTCTACCTCATCTGCCCATCCTCAGTTTGCACCCTAGGTTCCAACCTTAGGAAACCACACGAACTTAGATCACTGATGTGCCATGCTGTTCTAGCTCGGTCTGTCTCCCCTTCAGACCTTTGCATCTGCTGTTGCCTCTGCCTAGAACATTCTTCTCTCAACACATCACGTCTCTCCCTCTTACCCCTAGACGATGATACTGAAATATAACATCTCAATAAAGCACTCCCTGGTTACCCTATTTAAACCAGTAAACCACTCGTGACTCCCCCACAGCCCTGATGCCCCTTCCCCACGTTGTTTCTCCACAGCACTTGTCACCATTTAAAATGCCATTTGTTTTATTAACGTCTCTTGTGTTTTGTCTCTCTCTGTGCTAGAATGTAAGCACAAAAAGGCCAAGATTTTTGTCCATTGTGTCCCCAGTAGGTACACTAGTACATGGCTCACGGTGGGCACCCAAATAACGTATGATGAATGACTGAGTCAACACTGTTCCCTCTGACTAGAAAATTCTCTCCTGAGCCTAGAGTCCTATTCTTTATCCATGCGGCAAACTCATCACCTAAGGGTCCTCCATCCCATCTCCTAGCTCCTCAGGCAGGGCTGTACCCCATTTCCCAGGGGACCACACCACTTACTGCTCATTCTCAGACTCTTCTGTTAATTCCAAGAGCACTATTAATAATTATGCTGCTACAAAAGGAATCACCAGGGCTACCCAGGGCAAACCAGGACATGCCCCACCTTTTTTATGGCTGCTTTCTCCCTTCGGTATTTATTTATCAGTCTGTCTCCCACGCCAGCCTGTGAATCCTTAAGGGAAAATTCATCTTTGTATTCCCAGCACCTCAACATGTTGTGGATGCTTAATCATGTTTATCAGATGAATGAACAATCACTTGCACTTGGGGATCTGGGATCCCTGGGACAGGCTGGAACTGGAACCTGGGGCTGGTACGCCTGGGCCTGTTCCCCTCTACGTGAGTTTCTACCCCTGTGGTGGCCCCATCACCACCCTCAGTTCCGCAGTCTCACGACTAGGGCCTCATATTCGCTCTGCTGAACACTTTCATTATCCCTGGCTTTGCTAACTTCCCTGGGCTGGCTGGATGGGGACCAGCTTTTGTCAGCCCCTGTTCAGACAAATCCCCACAGGGCTCCTTTGGCCCTACTTACCCTGCCACACCAGTCCCAGCAACAGATTGTGGCAAAGATTCCAATTTCAACAACAAAGGGTGGGGCCAGCACCCCTCCCACCTCCCTAGACAAGGCTTCCCAGGTGGGTTCCAACTGTGGCTCTCTCTGTCAGGGATGAAGTAATTATACTAATCCTTCAGCAGCCAAGGCCTCAGTGCTGCTTCTCCAGATGAAATGGATCTTTTCCAGGATGTTGCAGAACTTCTCAGAGTCTGTCAAAGGTCAGCCACATCTTGGCAGTTAGCAGCTGTTTTGCTGAGAACCAAACTTTTCCCTTTAAGATTGTATCACTGAAATTATCGTGTATGCCGGTGTGAACATAGGCTTGGCTTCACAAACAGCATTTTTACAATAAACTCTTTCGAGTCTGAGATGTGCATTTGGTGAGAAGGGATATAAACTCTAATTGAGGGTCTAGAAATTAGGATTCTGAAACTGCCCAGATGTACCAGAAACACTTTTCAATTAATAAATGTATTCTTATATCATAACAATTTTCATGATAAAAACATTAGGCTGGCATCAAATCAACCTTCCTACTTGAGTTTTAAAAGCTTCATGATCTGGAAGAAAAATTAGCTGAGGTCTCTTTCTGCTAAGAGTACATATCCTGAAAGAAACTGGGTTGTTGTTGTTGCTGTTGTTGTTTTTTGAGATGGGGTTTTGCTCTTGTTGCCCAGGCTGGAGTGCAATGGCATGATCTCTGATTACTGCAACCTCCGCCTCCTGGGTTCAAGCAATTCTCCTGCCTCAGCCCCCCGAGTAGCTGGGACTACAGGCATGCACCACTACGCCAGGCTAATTTTGTATATTTATTAGAGACAGGGTTTCTCCATGTTGGTCAGGCTAGTCTCGAACTCCCAACCTCAGGTGATCCACTCACCTTGGCTTCCCAAAGTGCTGCGATTACAGGCGTGAGCCAACGTGCCCGGCTGAAAGAAGCTGTTTTGAAAATAGCCACAAAAAGCAACATACTGGGAAGAAAACTTTGAAAGTCAAAGGCAGCAAGTTCAGTTCGTGGAGCATTTACAGAAGCTAATTAGGTGCGACGCCCAGAGATGTTTCCCACTGCAGACCCAGCCTCAGGAAGCTTCAAGTCAACAGCAGAGCTTGACCACCACATGGACATTGCACTGCTGATATGAAACTCGCCTAAGTCAAGAAGTTTTCTAATCCTTGTTGTCCAGAATCAAACAAATATCCCCCAAGACTGACAACAAACACAGTGCCTGCCTTCTGCTTATTTTGACCCATGACAGTCATGCATAAAAGGAAAAGGGTAATTTTAGCTATTTTCAAGATGGTGTCATTACACACGAGATGTTTATTTAAGGCATCTAAACTGGAGAGCAAACAAAGCTCTAATCCCCTTCTGTACAAGCTACTTGCGTAGATCTGAGGCCTGGACAGATGCAAAGCCTTGCAGACCACAATCTGTCATCTACTGACTTAAACTGCCTTAGATATGGCTCAAAGGGGGTTTTATAAGAATATCCTTTAAGATTCAATTTTTTTTTTTCATGAAAGCTTCCCTTCCTCTGCTCTTCCCTTTTTCCCTTCTAACCAATGGTGTGTACAATCTTGACTTCTAAATACTTAAGCTGGAGTTTAGCCTCTCTCATGAAGACAGGAATTTTATCTGTTTTGTTCACTGCTGTATCCCAGTGCCTGAAAGACTGCCTGGCACAGGGTAAGCTCTCAATAAATATTTGCTCAGTAAATGAATATCTCTTCTACAGTAATAAATAAAAAGAATGCTAGATGGGAAAGCATAAAACCCTTTTCTGCAACTTATTTGTGGAGACGTACTGGATCAATTTAAGGGCTCAACTATTCCAAAAGTAAAATGAAAGAAATAACACAACAGCCTCAGCAACATCACATCAACACACACACGCACACACACCCTTCAGAAAGCACTTTCACATCCAGTTGCACAAGCAACCTCTACAGGAGAATTCAGAATCTACTTGCAATAAGAGCTCTCAAACACAGCTTTAATTCACAGAATTTCAACTCCGTTGCAGAAAAAAAAAACTGACTACATAAAAGAAATAATGTGTGAGTCTTCTGCCCTGGAATCTTAACCTAACCTCTGTATACTCAACCACAGCACTGGTACATTTTGAGATATAGTCAGAAATGTTCTTTATAAAATTACTTTGGTTCACCTTGAATGGAGTAAAATGGTAACAGGATCAACAAAGACTCAAAACACACAAGCATTATAGCAACATCACTCATGGGCAACGGTATGTGATCCTGAAAAACCAGTCTGGCCCAAAAGTAGGGGTCAAAGAGTCCACAGACGGAGGGCTCACTTCTGGACAACTGACATTAGCACTATACCAGGTGCTCCCACTAATTGCTTACCCATTTTTAAATGAGGGTAACCAGAAATTATTCAAAGCTGTAAGCCACTTGTCTAAGTTTTAACATTTGTTGCTGAGTTTGTAATTTACTAACATGGAAAGACTGCTTCACCTTGTGACTGCAATGCCTAAGGTAATATGGCCATCACATTATATCCTAACTTAAGAAGGACACATCTCAGCTCACTCCTGGGCTATGACCACCAGAGGGCTTGTTGCCAGGTACCACAATACACTCTTCTTCTGGTGGCAAGTTCCTTCCAATAGACATACAGACAACATGAACAAATCGAAGCTGAACAAATACTTAAGAGTTGAAGAGCACCATAAAAATATTTTTGCTTTTTTTAAAAAATGAAAAAAATTCTCATTATACTGCATGAAATTTTGAATAAACTCCACAAGTATCCTATCAAGTACATTTTGATTTCATTGAACTCTCAGCCATAACACAGGTAAAATGTAATGAAAAATCACCTAAAATCTCTTTTGTTTTATAGTTGTTGAGCTCTGAAGAGAAAAGCACTGGAGACAGCCACAGAGATGTGCAGGATAAAGTTTCTAACCTACAGAAGCTTCTATCTCATTCAAGAGGGTGACACCAAAACCTAATCAACCATAGCAAGAAGAGGTGTGTTGACGACCACGAGTGGTCTGATAACTCAGGGCCAGTGCAAGTCCCTTGTGGATTATGCTGGGGCTGACCAAGTCTTTCAGACAGACCATAGAAGACTGGCAGGATTTTAACAGTGGAGATAAGGTACAGGGTATGAGACGTAGAAAGGAAAAGACATGAATGGCTCTGGCTCAAGAGGAGATTCCACAAAGGAGAGTAGTGGGGTTTGGAGGAGAGCAGGGAGGACAGCTAAAGCTGGACTGTAAAGGGCCTTGAACACTACACTAAAGGAACTGGGAGTAATAGGGAGCCCATGAAGGTTTCTAGGAAGGTGAGTAACATGATCTGATTTTAGAAGATCCATCTGTTGGTGATAAACTGCATCAACTGCTGCAAGGTTAAAAGGCAATCACCCAACACAAAAGGCCAGTGGATTTGGTAACTAAAATATCTGAAGGTGCACTGTCACAGTGCTATTGCAACTAAGTGGAAGGAGATTAAGTATCGACTGAGTATCGCTTAACCAAGATGTTTGGGAGTAGAAGTGTTTTAGATTTCAAATTTTTTCAGATTTGGGAATATTTGCAGATACAAAATTATCTTGGGTATAGGACCCAAGTCTAAACATTAAATTCATTTATATTTAATATACACCTTATATACATAGCCTGAAGGAAATTTTACCTTTCTCTTAGGGACACGGAATCAATTCTATGTTGCATGACTGCATTTTGACTGCATTTGGAGGTCAGGAGTGGTGTTTTCCACTTGTGGTGTCATGTTGTGATCAAAAAGTTTCTGATTTGGATCATTTAAGATTTTGGATTTTCAGATTAGGGATGCTCAACCTATAGTTTGATTATTTCCCTCATCTCTCCCTTCTCAGCCTTTCCTTATCAATGCTGTTTGGGAATCTGAGGCAGTTCTCAATGAATCCAGTTACTGAGTTTTCTGAAATGTTTCTGAAATGTCCTCCCTGGAATACATTTTTTACCTTCCTTATTTTCAAAGAAGTTAAAAATCATACTGGAAAGACATCACTTACCTAACTAGAAAAGCAAATGGTGGTATAGGCTCTGCCACACAGCACAGCCACATTTCCTTGGGGATGCCACCCAGTGATACCCTGCTCAAAGATGTGGCTTCACACGTAACGGGGACAGTTCAGAGAAGGAAAGGAGCCGCAGAGGAGGAGTCCAGCTGAGGAGTTCCATGTTTGGGGGACTAACAGACCCACAAATGATAACAGAAAGCTATTTTTGAAAGGAAAATAGGTAGGAAACCAATCTATACATTTCCACGATCTGAAAGTCATATACTTATACAAAATGGAATTATTTTTTAATTACCTAAAATTTAAAGAAAGATAAATTGTAGACACCTTCAAAACATATGAATTACAAAAGTATCTGGATGCTTTTGCAGACTAACAGTGAACACAGCTCAAATTAAATTCCAAATGTAAGCCAGGTGCAGTGACATGTGCCTATAGTCCCACCTACCTACTCAGGAGGTAGGAAGATCTCTTGAGCCCAGAAGTTGAAACCAGCCTGGACAACATAGCAAGACCTCATCTCTTAAAAAAAAAAAAAAAAGGCTGCGCACAGTGTCACACCTGTAATCCCAACACTTTGGGAGGCGGAGGAGGGTAGATCATGAGGTCAGGAGTTCGAGACCAGCCTGGCCAATATGGTGAAAACCTGTCTCTACTAAAAATACAAAAATTAGCCAGACGTCGTGGCGGGCACCTGTAGTCCCAGCTACTTGGGAGGCTGAGGCAGGAGAATTGCTTGAACCTGGGAGGTGGAGGTTGCAGTGAGCCGAGATCGCGCCATTGCACTCCAGCCTGGGCGACAGAGCGAGCGAGACTCCGACTCAAAAAAAAAAAAAAAAAATTGACAAGTAAATTTCAAATGTAATATTGGGTAAGTTAATTGGCAAAGTTTTCAAAGTATGTAGTCTGAGCAGCTGCTTAAGTTGTTTTCTATTCAAACTGGAACTAAATTCATGAAATATTTACAGTTAGAATGCATCAAAAGCTAAGGTCATCTTACCCCCTTACATCACAAACATCCTGTTTGAGAATGCCAGGCTGTTTTAGTAGGGAACCAAGTTAGCATTGACCCTGTTTCAAAATACCATCAAAGATGAACATCTGCAAAGAAAAATGCAGGAAAATACACTAAAGGAAGTGGAAAATGACCCACCATGCAGAAAGTGGTGAGACAGAGCATGTGAGAATGTTGGAAATGTGTCCCACATACCTTATTATTACAACAATTGCTATAATTCTCATTGTTAATAGAAATAGCTTTCCTTTCTCACAGAGTTATGGCAGATTCCATGCTAAGCACCTTATACGTATTAGATCATTATCTAAATATCAACTACATATTTGGCCCTCACAAAAATCCCAGGAGTTAATTAATAATTCTTTTCCCACTGAATAAGCTAATTACTTAATTTCTCTGAGTTGAAGTTTTTCAAGTAATTTGCTCAAGATTATATAGCTTGTAAATGGAAGACCTGGGACTTGAACCCAAGTCCTGTTCACTATGTTTTTACTGAACCCTCATCAAATTCTTAGACAAATCATCCCTTAAACAAACATTAAATAGTAAATGTGGCAAAAGCAACGGATCTAGCCTTAGTACGGAACAAGTGAGGACGGTTCCTCCCTAAGAGGTCTTCTGCAATTTGAGGTCTGAAGGAAGAACACGAGTTGCTTTGGAGAAAGAGGGAAAAGCATTCCAGGCAGAAGGCACAGAATTCTATGCAAGGATGCTCCCATGAGAGGGAATGTGGTGAGGGTGGGGTGAGGACTGACAGAACAAGCAAGATGGGAGGGAATGAGAGGGATCTGGCAACTTCAGATGCATTAGTAAAACTGTACTTTGCTCACCACGTAGTGCTTTGTAGGCCATGGTAAAAAGTCATTTTCTTTATCCTAAGCACATTGAGAATGTATTTTATTTTAGTGCTCGTGGTGGTTCTTTTCCTTGGGGGTGAGGGGTGTGAACTAGAGTAGCAGTGCCATGCTGCCTCCTACAGGAATCTTCCAGGCACCAGGATAAAAATGTATATTCTGGAGCATGAACTTCTATGACCTAGAATAGACTTCTAAACATTCTCTATCTACCCAAACATTATATATCTAAACATTCCCAGAATGGAGATTAAAGCTGAAAATGCAAAAAGAGCATGTGGACAATTGCTGGGGGTAAACTGAGGCACAGTCAAGATTATCCTGGAGGGTTTGTGGTGTAGGAACACAGGCGAACCAAAGGTAGTGGGGTGGAAGTGCACAGGAAGAGGCCCTGTCATGAAAATGGCAAGCCCATTTCCAGCTAAGAGGGGCAACCAATGTTAATACCCCGGCTCCACTCCCACCAGCTGTGTGGCTTTGGATAAGTTACTTGATCTTTCTGTGACAATTTCCCCATTTGTAATAGTGCCTATCTCACAAGATTATTTTCAGAATGAAATGAGTTATAAAACGTATAAAGTATTTAGAGCAGAATAGTAAGTACTTAATAAAATATTAGCCATAAATACTTTTATTATTACTATTATTATTGTTAAAGATCACAAATTGCAGTAAGTAGTTAAGAAAGGAAAGAAAAACATCTTAAATATAGATCTAAAGCAACACGTTCTCAGACTTACATGCGCCTAAGAATCACCCAGAAAGCTTGTGAAAAATGTAGATTCCTGGCTTATGAGAAGTAAGACCTAGGAATCCAGATTTTTTCATAAGCCCCTGGGGGAATTCTGATACAATTGGTCCAAGCACCATACTTTGAGAAGTGGGGCTTTGAGGACTAGAATTTAAAATATTCAGGTATCAAATAAAGTATTTCATCACAGGGGCTTAACTATCAGGATAACTTTATAAAACAAATTTCAGATATTATTTGTCTTAAGGCAAAATGAAACAAGAACACTTGCAATATCTACTTCTAGAAGAAAACAAAATGATCAGAATTTGCTTGACTGGTAAAATATACCAGCAGATTTATTCATTAATAACCATTTTCATACATTTAAATAATAAATAATCTTTAGTTCCAAACAGCCCAAATATATCGCTGCATGCTGCATTATCAAGAGAAACTAAAACAAGCATCTGGACAGTGGTATATATATGTTCCTTAATTATTAGATTTTATGTTCTGTCAAAATTAATAAAGCCAATCTTTAATCATACAGAGAAAATCCTTTCTGCTAGGACATAATGAGACTTTCTGCAGGTTCTTTCACTTCATTTCAGGGTTTCTCAACCTTGGCACTATGGACACGGCTAACAGACAACGCTTTACTGTGAAGGGCTGCATATGCTTTGAAGGGTGCTTAGCAGCATCCCTGACCCACTGGCAGCAAGCACCCTCCTACCCCCAGTTTCACAATCAAAAATGTCTCCAGACATTGTCAACTGTCCCCTGGGGTTTTAAACTGCCCCATTTTGAGTACTACTGCTTTCGGTAAAAAGACTGAAAATGTCTCAACTCTAAAGTGACCCAAATTGCCAGCTTAACCATTTTCAAATGCCCCGCTACCAATATGCCAATGACCAATAAATCTTTTCCGCAACCAAGACATTTACTGAACATTTCCTCATCAATATCTACATGCACATGTATTTATGTGCATTTCATGACAATTTGGGGTTGTTTTCAGCATATCATCTGTTTTGAGAGAGAGAGGATGATGCTACTGCGAAAAAGTAATAGCAATGGTGGTAATAACGAACAACATAACTTTGTAGAATGCTTGACACCTTCCAAGGCACTTTTGCATACGTTATTCCCAGCCCACGTTCAGCAGCAGTTCACAAATATTCTAAATCTGCATTCAACAGTTTATTGCATAAAAGATGTTATGCTGCATCAACCAACTCCCGTCTGCAAGACACCGTGGGCCCCTTGCAGCAACTGACAATCATAAGTACGTGAATTCTGGTAAAAATGCTTGCATGCCCACAGGAGAGGAGGCAGGAAATGTTTCTGCCTAAGCAACAAGCGGAGAAGTCTGAGGCTCTCAACTCATTACATGACTTGGCCCAACTTAGCATATTTCTCTTTCCTTTAAACTCAGTAGTGGACATGAGAATGTAAATGGTGAACATATTTGTCTTGAATCAGTAAATGTAACATAAGAATAAATAAAAAAGTTTTTTGAGAAATAAAAAGTTTAAGGTATTGTTTGTGATAATTTCTGGGTATTCTCTCTCCAACTTTCTTTTTCAGATATTTTTATTTGGAGGAATAAAAGTTCTAGGGTTGAATAACCCGGTTCTACCACGGATCTACCAAATCCAGGCAAACTTTTCCAGTGTTATGTTTCAGTCATTCAGACTAGAAAACAAAATTGTAGTGGTATAAAGTGGCCAAATCATTTCGGCATCTCTTAAGCACGTCAACGAAGAACTCTAAAGGAGCAGACAAACAGAATCTACAGGTACTGTGAAGGAATTATTTACACTAACAAGTGACCTTCTTCAGAAAAATCAAACAAGTGACTTTCCAGAGTAAGTGAAATCACTGGCCTATCCCACGCATCTGGTGAACATTGTCTGCAAAAATTACAAACTGAAGGTATTGTTTGGTCCTTTTACCCAAACACCATCACACAACCCAACACTCAGGATTTTTCTTGGCCCAACAACACTATGAAAAAGCTGCTTAGGCTCTTTATAATAATAAACAATGCACATTCCTGTTTTATTTGCAAAAATAATTAGCAGCAGCTGCTACTTGCAAAGAATTTTGAACAGAAAATATTTTACATCCTGAATCCAAATATTTCAGAAAAGTCTGACGTCAAATGAAGTATTCTGCCTTTTTTTAATTTAAAATAATAACAATTAAAGTCTTCATACTTTTATCAAACTTTTTAAAAAAAACTGACAAAAACATTATTCTGAAATTCAAAGGAGACAGCTGCACACATCTGTCAACTACACATCTCTGGAGTAAAAGAGAAACTTAATGCTTTAGTACAGTACTTACATGTGAGGGCTCAGTTCATAAAAATTTCTGTTCCTGTATTCTTCCACTTTCTCTGGTGAATAAATGGGTAAAGACCGGTATGGGTTAACAGATATAACCACACTTCCAATGTATGTCTGCAAAAGAAAGAACAAAACATGCCCATTAGTTAGTACACAAAATGTATTTTAACGTCTTAAGCTTTAGTGTTGTATGGTTTCAACCTTTTAAAATCAACACTAGTTCTGCTTCACCATTCATTGTATACATTTTAAGAATGCTTTGCATCTCTGAAGACAGATGGTCAACAATGTCTATTTAGTTTGTTGATAAATGGAAAGCATACATTTATATATTTAAAATCCTTTCAAAGTATATCTCTGAACTAATTTACGGTTCTCGGTAAGAGTTCTCCAAAGCCCTGTCATATTTTCCACAAATTTTGTCACAAACTACTGCTAACTGTAAGCAAGAGCCATGCTCTCCCTGATTCTAGATAGAGCTATAGTTCCCCTTCTTCTCTCATCTTTTTCCACCTTTTTAGTCAACAGTATCCCAGTGTTCCCCTCTTCCCTACCCACACCTCATAGGGCCTTCCCTTTGGCACTGGCCCTCTGCAAGTCTGTCAATCTTTCCACAATGGGCTCAGATCACGTTCAATTCAGTATCAGAGCTACAGGTATCTCTTGGACATTCAAACCACATAATCTCATTATATCTAACATAATATCAGAGTTTTAGTGTCAAATTTAAAGGTACTTTCCAGAAAGTACATTTAATGTCAACATTTAAATTTAATGTCAAATTTACATTTAATGTAAAATTTAAATGCACTTTCTGAGGGATCAGTGCTATATTTTAGCATGTACTAAACTTTTCTCACTGAACTTTAAACCAGAACACAATTTCTCTTCCTGTCTACTTCGACCCTAAATTCCTGGCAGCACCAGTGGTGCTGGTTTAGTTCCTTCTGTGCAATGCCAAGGACAATGCCACAAGCAAACGTCACTTAACTGTAACTTATCTTGGCAGCTCCATTTTCCCCTTCAGTTTCAACATCATAAAAGACAGGAGGGGGAAAAAAGGTGCCAACAAAAGTGGTAAAGTGATAAACTAAGTGATAAAGTGATGAGCGATATAACTTTTAAAAAGAAAAAGGTTCATAAAGGAAAGAAAGAAACAAGGGGAAAAAAAGATCTCCAACTTCCCACCTTTCCAATGTCATCCCACAAAAGGTACCATTTTTAGAGCAACAAGTTTTTCCAGTATTACCACCACTGGGATTCAAAAAGACTGTCAGATATTTCTAGAAAATTAAACAGAATAGAAAATGAAGGAACGTAGAAATGTTCTGCTGACTTTTTTTTTTCTTTTTACAGGGGTCACAATGATATTAATTATGAAGGACTTTCTCCCAACTAGGAAAACTGAACAGGTTATATATATATATAAACACACTTTCATCCTGTAAGAATACTATCTTGTCAAAGGTGGACAAATATTATCTTGTCAAGGGTGGACAAGATTGCTGTTGTAAAAGAAAACTCTCAGTTCCCATGCAATTTTTCACATTTATTTCTAACATTCTATCACTAGGACCCAATTAATCTGGCCTCACAAACAATGACAAAACTTTCTCAAGGTTTTCTGGTTGTCCTCACACTGCAACCCACCTAGGAGATGGGAGATGTCTCCCAAGGACAATGTCACAAGCAAACATCAGATGGGAGACGCCTGACACTGAATACTTGTCTGAATAGCTTCCAGCTAATACATTAGAATTAGTAGCCTTGGTAAATATGAAAATATAGCCATTGGTTATTTCTTTAACATCTATTGGTTAAAAAAATCAACCTTCTTTAAGTAGAAAAGTACTATTTGAATCCTTCTCCCTTTTTCTTGAATACAATAGTTTCTAAAATATATTGATTTGCTGTTAGCAGAAAAACCACTTACTGAGTTGCTCTTTAAAACCAAACTTCACAGTGGCTAAATTCTTGATAAAAATCTGCCTCTGTGGCATTCTTGCACAGGGAACAAACTCTGTTGCCTCAAATTCAAAATCAAAAGCCACAGTAATAAGTTGTAAGTTTCTCTTTGTTCCTTGTGACTGTTACACATACTGAATTATGTGTGTTTGTTTTCCCCCAGCTGCATCTCTATCACCTAGAACAGTGTCTGGCCCACCATGATGTACAATAAATATTTGTTAACTAAATGACCAAATCACATGGGGTATGTTCATCACTAATTGGAGGGTACAAGCCACTGAAACACATCTAATTATTCTTGCATTGAAATATAAGATCAAATATACTATACTCAGTGCTTAGTATTTTAATCAGCCTATATGCCATGTGTTACTGTTAGAGGTGTTTGAACCAGAGCAACCCCATCTTGAATAGAGGCTGGGTAAAATAAGGCTGAGACCTACTGAGCTGCATTCCCAGATGATTATGCATTCTACATCACAGGATGAGGTAGGAGGTCAGCATGAGATACAGGTCATAAAGACGATGCTGATAAAACAGGTTGCAGTAAAGAAACCAACTCAAATCCACCAAAACCAAGATGGTGATGAGAACACTTCTGGTAATCCTCAGTGCTACACTCCCACCAGTGCCATGACAGTTTACAAATGCCATGGCAACATCAGGAAGGTACCCTATATGATCTGAAAAGGGGAGGCATGAATAATCCACTCCTTATTGAGCATATAATCAAGAAATAACCATAAAAATGGATCTGCATATGGAGTAGCCATTCTTTATTCCTTTACTTTTTAAATAAACTTACTTTCACTTTACCATATAAACTCACCCCAAATTCTTTCTTGCGTGAGATCCAAGAACCCTCTCTTGTGGTCTGGATTGGGACTCCTTTCCGGTAACATTACCATTTAACAAATCCCTAAATGTCGTTTGACTCTGGTAGACTGTAAAAACAGCCAGAACAATTCTTTCCATCCCTGCATGCACTTCCCATTTGAAATGTGACTTTGTTACTTTAAAGATAGAGTTTTTTTCTCCACTCCTTCAATTGGAATTTCTCCCTGTGACTTGATTTAACCAAAGGGAAGTTAGCAAATGAGACACAAGTAGAAGCCTGAGAAGCATTTGTGTATTAGGATGTGTCTCCTTTTTTATGACTGTGGCTGGAAGCCATGATGTGAATGAGCTTGAGCTAGCCTGTCAGAGAGGTCCTGTGGAGAGCTAAGGTATCCTGACCTACAGCCTGCTACACTAACTATTAGACATGAGTGAGGCCATCTTAAACCATCCAGCCCCAGTAAGGACACCAGATGCCTAAGGCCACATGAGTGATTCCAGGTGAGACTAGCAGAAAATATACAATGCTAAACTCAGGCTAACTTGCTATCCCAGAGAATCGTGAGCAAATAATTGGCTGTTGGTGTAAGCCTTTAATTTCTGAGAGGTAGTTTGTTACATGGCAACAGTAACTGATACACCTATGTAAACCAAAAATAAAATCCTAAGGCCCCTCAACCATCAGAATGGACTTCCTCCTAGGCCAAGGTACTCTAAAATTTAACCTGAAAGATTGGTTCAGGCCATGATGGGAAGTGGGGGTCGAACATGCCTCATTATACCTCTCCAGCATTAACATCGACTCAGACCTTAAGTCTGATAAGAAACATTTACAATCTATTGTCTCTGAAGCCGGGTATCTGGAGGTTTTATCTGTGTGATAAAACTTTGGTCTTCACAACCTCTTATAGCAATCCACACATTCCTTTCTATTGGTAACTCTTTTAACCAATTGCCAGTTAGAAAAATTTTAAATCTACCTATAACCTGGAAGCCTCACTGCTTCGAGCTGTTCTACCTCTCTAGGTTGAAGTCTCATGTCTGCCTAAAATGTCCCAATCATCTTGGGCACATGTTCTCAGGATCTCCCAAGGAGGGCTGTGTTATGGGCTATGCTCACTCATATTTGGCATAGAATAAATCTCTTTAAATATTTTAGAGTTTGACTCTTTTCATCAATACCTACATGACTCAAGAAACTAAAAATGGTGCCAAGCAGGACAAGTTTTATCCACCTAAATAAGCAAACACTAAAAGAAACTATGCTTTCTCTCTCCATTCCACTTTATACAGTTCAGATATCCTCTTTATCTTCTAACCTTGAACTCCTAACAGGTTCATCCTATACCTGCCCTTTCTGTTTATGGATTTCTTCCTCAAAGTTCTATGTGCATTAGCCAAAGGTTTAAATATTCCTACATGGGCCAGTAGAATAACTCAAATGTTCACAGTCACAACTCTGCTTCCTCTGAGACACAGAAAGACATTCCTGATAGCAGCTGATTGCTGGGTGGGGTTTAACATTTCTACTCTAGTTTTAGGTAGCTACCAATTCTACATTCAGGTGACTACAGCACCAGATTAAATCTCCTTTTCAAGGATCAGAATGATAGTGACCAGACAGTTCATTTTTACATTGATTAACATTTGGACTTGTGAATCAGATGTCATTTTTTAAATAAACAACTGCATACTATTTACAGTTGGTATTTTCTTATTGCATCACGCTCTAAAAAGGATGGTAAACCAACTCATTATGAAGTAACCAGCCCAGGCATTTCTAGGCTCACCCCTCCACGTTTCTGAACCTCAGCTCCCCTAAGCCCTCAGGTCCATGCCACCACTAATATGACAATGGAAAGCTCCCTCTATGCCTCTGCTCAGTGGGCCAGCCTCTGACACCCAGGAAGGGAAAAGAAAGGAAAGAGATGTGGGAGGGAAGAGAAGCAAACAAGAATGAAAGAGAAGAAAAAGGGAAGAGGGAGAAGAAAACAAGCTCTACCTTTCTATAATTGGCACATACAGATAGCAAGGTTATATTTCATTTCTCAAGGGCAGACACTGAATCAAGAATGCACAAACATTCTTAAGTCAAAACCATCTCGACCTTCCTAGATTTCAAGTATCTCTAGCATTCCAAAACAGATGTCTTGTAAATAATCAAATAATACTTGAGTGTTCTTAGCATAATTACCATGAAAACAGAGGTCTTTTCTGGAGGACATTCAATCTAGCCACCTCCACTCCCCAGACCACTGTTCAGAAGCCAAACGAAAAGCCTTTGAGTAGTCAAAATATAACCTAAAGGCCACGTGTTTTATTCTATAAGAAAGTTCTTTCAGAACTCCAATCCTCAGAGATTCTACTTCAATGATGTAGGGAACGGCCAGGGGTCAGTACTTTTTTGAAAGAGACCCAACATAAACTAATGTGGAACCAGGGTTGAAAACCAATGTCTGTAGCCCTTCCCTTCCAGACTCACAGGACCAGGTTTTACTCTCAATTGCAACAACCTGCTAGTGCTGCTGTTGGCTTATCTTCTATTTCACCTTCCCCTTTAAATACTCCTATGGAACTAGTTCTGAAACAAAAGAAAAGTCCTTCTAGCCTCACTCTCATTTTAGCCACATTTCTAATAAACTTGGCATAGTCTCAATAGACTACAGAAAAACTGCAGCAACATCTGTATATTGGAAGAGGCAAAAAGGGCCGTACTATAGCTGTGAATTTGAAATGTTTGATTACAACTCATATATAAGAAATAAAATTTTCATCACAACCAGGTATGTGTATGTATGTCTATTTATGTGCACACACATATACAAGATAAAAACTTCACAAAACCAAAAGTACCCTTTACTATATGTGATACATTGATATTTTTTGTTCGATTCTAATATTTTTTACAAAATGTTTAAAAACTGTTGGCCCTAACCCACTAAATGATTTTCATGAGCAATTAATGATATGAAACTTGCAGTTTAAAAAATTGTGCTACACAGCACTCCTTAACCTTTCTTCAATTGTTGATCCCTTTGAGACACCAGCGGAAGCAATGACTCTTCTCCTTGGAAAAACACACATGCACATTGAAGTCTGCATACATGTGATATACCAGGTTAAGACTCCCTCTGCAAGCAGAGAAACAATGGCCACTAATAGAAAAGGAAGAGTAGGGAGGGACAAAGAAAGAAAGAAAATAAGTAAGAAGTGATGAAGATAATTATCAAAGTATAAAAATATTTATAGTAAGACCCAAGAGCCCCATGGCTTAGCCGGCCCTGACTGCTTTATTATGGCACTAATTGGGAACGTAGGGTAATAATCAACAGCCAAAATCAGTGTATTCTGTTTTTGATGACAAGGATATATGCAATACATTTTAGAATGATATCTAACCAAAAAGTTAAATATTTTAGCACAGCTTTAATATTATGTAAGTCTCAATAATGTGTAACATTCCTTCGCAAAGGCAGATAAATGAAACATTAGCACACATACACAGAACAGTCAGAATATTTCCAAGTCTGTATATAAAACTTCTTCTAAAAAGTCAGAATAGTTTTAATATCTTTTATATCATAATTCTTCCCAGGGTAAGATAGAGATCTTTAGAAGCCCTAAATCCTGAAGGTTTACATTTCAGTTTCTCATATGATATTAAAATGTATAACTACACCATAAAATACATGTAAGAAAATCCCATAATGACCTATTTTTGCCATCATGTACTTTGATGCTTTTTTTGAAATATCGAATTCTCTCAAAATCTATTTTTAAAGCCTCTGTTTGCTGGGCTCTAACTAGGCATCCAATCTGTCTACCTACCTGCTTCCTTATTTTCTTCAGGATGAATTTCAGTTATTTGTTTACATGTCTCTGGAGTTCCTTAAAAACTCATCCTCAACCTATTGAACAGCTGGCATAGAATATACACATACACACCTTTCTACTAAACTACTCCCAAATCCCCAAGAGATAGATACAAATTCTCTATCTTAATGTCCATAACAAAGGAGCACAAAGAAGTTAAGTGATACGACCACATTAGCTAGCAGAAGTGAAATCAAGACAAGGAGACAAGAATCTGTTCTCTTTTCATTAGAGCATACAATCCATGCCGTCTGTTAGGCCTGGGAAGCTTTGGTAAAAAGCACGCAAGAAGAACGGAGGAAACTTGTGTTGCACAATGCCATATAAAGCATCTTCAACCTTTGTGTAATAAAGCGCTACTCTGTTAGGCAAAAGCCTCCCATTTTACCACCTGAGAAATCCTTCTACCGCCAGGAATAAACAAAACAGAAAAGGAAAAGATCTTCTAGTTATAGGGAAAATGTTTGCTCTCACCAGAAAAGATTCAATCGTAATCATTCTTTAACTTCAGAGAAATAAATCAGGAATGTGGTGATGTAAAAGGCAATATTTATTTAAATATCTTAATACGAATTAGTCTAAAATAACATCAAAGAAATATCAGAGAAGGTATAGGAGTCGTCTGCATCTCCAAGGGTCTCCAAGTCATGTTACTTTTGCCTCTAAAGTATTGGGCTGGTGCAAAAGTAATTGCAGTTTTTGCCATTACTTCCAACGCAAAAATCACAATTGCTTTTGCACCAATCTATAGTTCAAATCCAGGATGGGCCAGGATTCAGGTAAGAATAACCCATCACAAGGCTGCACAATCGCACTGACTGATAGAGTGATTTTAGGCTACAAACCATTTTACATGCAAGCAACAAATTTATTAAGGGCTAACTTTATGCAAAACATCATGCTGGGCATGGTAGGAAAAATACAAAGCTCCCAGTGTCTGTGTGCCTGGGAAGTTTATAATATAGCTTAGGAAGTGAGTCTTTTAGATAGAGAAACATAAAATTTAAGAGTTAACTTCTCTAGACATTAAAACAGATGAAACAGGATGTGATTCCTGGCTAAATGAGCCATTAGTCTGATTATTTTACTGTCTAATGAGTGCTCCAGGGTTATATAAAGAAAGGTCACTATGAACTGCAGAGGTCCGAGAAAGCTCCAGAGAAGACAGACAGCTTGAGCGGTCTAAAAAGATGGGCATGATTTGGACAAAGTTCCCCCCAAAGAGTGACATAAGACGTTAGGTTTCAGGTGATAGCTGAATGCCGCCCAGCCACCACCTTTCTTTCTTCTTTTTTTTTTTTTTAAGCTAAGCTATCTTCTTCAAAATATATTTTTTTAAGTACAATTTGCCAGGGACTCAAACAGATATCTGCACACCCATGTTTATAGCAGCATTATTCACTATACCCAAGAGGAGGAAGTCACCCAAGTGTCCAGCGACAGATGAATAGATAAATAAAATGTAGATACGTACAATGGAACACTGTTCAGCCTTAAAAAGGAAGGGAATTCTGACACATGCTAGAATACAGATTAAAACACAGACAGAGGCACAAAGGCCTACCCAAGCACATACCAAAGACAGAGAATGGAACAGCTTCCCTAAAACAAAGACATCCCCTGAGTAGTTACGACTGGAATAAAAAATTCTTGCTAAAGCCAGGAAAAAAAAAAAAAAAAGACTGAGATCAAACTGTAGAGAGCCTTTGAACTTCACGTAAGCAGTCTGAGCTTGAGTCCAAAAGCAGTTTTGAAGTGAAAAGTCAGTGGGGGATGAGGGGCTTAGATGATGAAACTGATGGGATTTGAACCCACATCATTCTGACCTAAGTATAGTATTTAAGCTCTTTACTCAGATTCTACCTATGTCATTTCATAATAATAATTCTTCAATGTATTTGAAATATTGTGTAAGTCTTGGCTCCAAATTAGCTGGCAAAATTCTCTAGTTTTGTGTGAACGTGGGCACATTATTTAACTTTTCCACATCCCAGTTTCCTCACCTTTTTTTTTTTTGAGACGGAGTTTCACTCTTGTTGCCCAGGCTGGAGTACAATGGCGCGATCTTGGCTCACTGCAACCTCCACCTCCCTGGTTCAAGCAATTCTCCTGCCTCAGCCTCCCGAGTAGCTGGGATTACAGGTGCCCGCCACCACGCCAAGCTAATTTTTTTGTATTTTTAGTAGAGAGGTGGATTCACCATGTTGGCCAGGCTAGTCTTGAATTCCTGACCTCGGGTGATCCGCCTACCTCGGCCTCTCAACTTGCTGGGATTGCAGGCGTGAGCCACCGCGCCTGGCCTGAGTTTCCTCATCTTTACAAGAAGCATACTAGCTCCTCCCTCATCTAATTCTGAGGATTAAATGAGGTTGTGTGTCAAAACATCAAACACAGCACCTGACCCACAGCAAGCATTCCATAAATATTACCTATTATAATTATATAAATTTAGCTGGGCTCTACTGGAATCTATTGGCTACTGTAAAGAGCCAAATCAGGACTTGAAAGTCTACATAAAATATGTTAATACCATGGCTAAATTCATTAATGAGTCCTACCACACCAGCGTCTTAAAAACTTTTACAAAATGGTCTGTTTTGTTTTGTTTTGTGTTTTGAGACAGGGTCTAGCTCTGTCACCCAGGTTGGAGTGCAGTGGTGCGATCCTGGCTCACTGCAGCCCCGATCCCAGGTTCAAGCCATCCTCCCACCTCAGCCTCCTGAATACCTGGGACTACAGGTACATGCCACCAATCCTGGCTAAGTTTTGTATTTTTGGTAGAGACGGGGTTTCATCATGTTGCCCAGGCTGGTCTCGAACTCCTCGACTAAAGCAATCGGCCCGCCTCAGACTCCCAAAGTGCTGGGATTATAGGCATTAGCCACGGCACCCAACCCAAAATGGTCTTTGTATACAGGAAATTGATGAATTTTCAGATAAGCACATAAGGTATGTCTTAATAAAACTAATATTAAAAGTCTAGGATACTAAGAAAATGACTATACAAGACAGACCAGTGGGAATCCTCAAAAATGACAACATGCTATTCACTCCAATATGAGGAATCTACTTCCTTCCTGGGTCTGAGACCCTGGGAATTTGATCACAAGATATTAAGATGTCATATGCCACGGTGTTTTTAATTAGACATCTGTAAGATTTCCCAAATTTCCTTGCAGAGGGCCTCGGTCTTTTTTTTTTTTTTAAAGACACAGTATGGTCTACCAAACACTTTGGTTGTTTTTTAGACATAGTTCAAAACTGTGCAAAATGCCTAAGTAAAAATTACAAGTATAAGGTGAATAACAGACTTAGGTGTCTATCTGGGCCTTATATTTTTTAAAAATGTAATTCAGTGTATGCATCTCATGTCGCCAGTCTCAGAAACATATTTGTGATGCATATGCAATAGACATATAAAATTGATGCTAATAGCCTAATTTTACAGGGGAATAGAACTGGAAACATTAGAAGGTTTTAAATAACTTGCCCAAGGTTTCTAAATCAGTGGCAGAAGCAGAGTTTCATCCCAAAGCTCTGCATCAAAGACTATGACAATAGGACGGAGAACAGTGACTTGGTCAGGCTCTTTCAGCTGCTTGGCATCCAGGTCCATTTCCTGTATTAATGAACTCACCTAGGAACCCCTGACAACTATCCCAGGCTATAACAAATCTGGGACCTGAGGGTGACTATGGGTCCAGGACGGCTCATGAACCAACACAACCCAAGTTTGTGAAGATTTCCTCTCCAGTTCTGGTATCAATGAGCCTCGCCCCTGCCCATGTCTCTGCTTCTCCCCTTGTTTCTTTCATGCCTGCTGCAAGCTGGTTCCCTCACTTTCTACTCCATCGGCTGTCCACTTCAAAGCCTCTTATTCATAGGTTCTGTTTGCCTGTGGCCTATCATGTACTCCTCTCGACTTCATCACCCTCAGCATCTTGATCCCATTGATATTTTATTTTTTCAGTATTTCTCAATTCAAAGTTTGAGGAAAGAATCTAGCCTTGCTCATCTTTTTATCTAAGTTGTGCCTTAAATCACTGGCCTTGGGTCAGGAGCTCATTCAGAGGCCAGGACGTCCCGCAAACCGTGGCTGCCGACGGTGGCCGCAAGTTTGTCAGGCACAGTCTCTGCTGCCTAGTCCAAGACGTGCCTACACTACCATCATATTATACTCTTGTTCCTGGGCTGCAGCCAGTCATTTCAGACTATGAATTAAAGAACTATATATGAGTTCAACGCCACGCTGAAATACTGGCTAAAAATATCACCTCAGGCGTCTTTATTTTAGAGCAGGATAATACAATACTGCCATATCTTCGTTGAGACAAACTGTGTCACGAGACAAGTATTTTCCAAATATATACCATTCTCCAGACTTAATAAAACTCTCTTAACAGCATGGTCCTGTGGTCCTGTATTAAAGGGATAATATTTACAATATGTCTTTAAAATAATATTTCTGTGGTTAATTGAAAGTAGTAATGTAACAAAAATGAATCTGCTATGAAACACAGGAACTGCTATGAAAGGAATACAGAAAGAGGGAAAGAAGTAGGCAGGGAAGGGGAGAAGAGAAAGAATCTAACTAATGAAAATACCAGGGTCTTGGCTAGGCTTGGTGGCTTACACCTATAATCCCAGCACTTTCGGAGGCCGAGGCTGGTGGATCACTTGAGGCCAGGAGTTCAAGACCAGCCTGGCCAAAATGGTGAAACGCTGTTTGTACTAAAAGTACAAAAAATTAGCCAGGTGTGGCAGCATGTGCCTGTAATCCAAGCTACTCAGGAGGCTGAGGCAGAAGAACCGTTTGAACCCAGGAGGCAGAGGTTGTAATGAACCAAGATGGTGCCACTGTACTCCAGCCTGGGGGACAGAGCTAGACTCTGTCTCGAAAAAAAGAAAACATCAATGTCTGAAACCTCAAAAAAAAAGTGATTCTGGATTTCCAAGTTTTTCAGACAGTCGGGGCACCTACCATGCACTCCACTTTCATCATGTGATAGGCACTGGACTAAGATGTCCCTTAATCCCCACCACAACTCAACAAGATAAGTACCACGATGACCATTTTATGGGTGAGAGAACCTCTATTCCTTACAGTGGTCACAGTGACTGTAAGTCACCAAGGTTCAAACAGGTCTGTCAGCCAAAAGCTCACACCTTTCCCAGTATGCCATGTCATTTCACCCTCCACTCCTTCCAAAGCAGAATTTGAACAACAAAATAGCCTCTCTTTAGAAATTAGGATTATTAAAATTTTTCTGCACTATGGATATACAACAGACACAGATGCATGTGTAGAGGGGACAGTTGAACTGGCCACAGAATTAACTGGCCACGTGTCCCCTGTGCCGAACTGCTTCCTCTTCCTCCTCTCTCGTGCTCATAAAGGTGAAGAGCCATGTGCAGCTGTCAGTTACCTGTCATCCTGTGAACATGATGAAATATACTTTCCTCCCAGTATCTTCTCCCACCTTCCACAGTGGGGAAAAAATCATTGTCATGGCTGCTATCACTTTTCCTTTGAATTGAGAGCACCATGTAATGATCACCTATGACTTTAGAAATGAATGTCCTTGCTCTATGTCACGCTGGTTCATGTCACTGCACTGCTGAGCAGCTCAACACATGGCAGGAATACTGATTATCATTTTGATTATTTGTCCAGGTCATTTTCAGATTGCCTCATTCCAAACCTACACATTCTTCAATATCATACCCAATTATTTTGAGAATTGAAAGGGCTTTTGTATCAGTAGTATCCTTTGATGCTCACAGCAACCATGGAAAGTCAGCAGGACTATCATTAAGAGCATGGACTCTGCAGCTGAACTTCCTGGGTGTGAGTTTCAGCTCCATCACCTACTTGCTGTGTGATCGTGGACAGTTACTTAGCCTTTATGAGCCTCGGTTTCTTCATATGTAAAATGAAGATAATTTAAAAACCTATAGTACATAGGACTCTAGTGAAAATTAAATGAATAATACATGTAAAGTGCTTAGAACAGCAGCTGGTACCAATAAGGAAATCAAAAATGTCCTTTGTTATCATTTATCATTTTACCAACCAATAAGAAAACAGTCTCCAAGGAGTTAACTTGTCCCAGGTCTCACTAAGTGGCAGGGCCAGGACTAGACGTCAAGTTTTTGCTTCTTAGTGCTACCATACTGCTTCCAAAAGATCTGATGTCAGGCCTTAATTTCTTCAAATCAAACCTTAGGTTTAGCTTCAACCAGAATATTTAAGTTAATGCACTGTAAGTATTATACAAATATTTCAAGCCCTATACAGTGCCTCCATGATGAAAAAACTCTCTAAGTTTGGTAAGCAACAAATATGTGTCAACTTTGAAAATTCTAAGAGGAAGAAATTTTCCAATCACCAAAGGCTGTAGGAAAGTTTGCATGGGTTGAAGCTGGCAAGTTATTAGCAAAAATGACTGTCCAAGAGATAGATGGTGCTCAGAAATTAGACATGACATTTCCCTTCACCCTCATGATTTGCTGTTTTTCAACAGCTTTATCTAGGCTTCTAAAGCTGTGTCTCCGTTTCAAACACCAAAGCTACACTCTGGAAGGCACACACAATTTGTTCTCAATGTTTACCTTAATGGTCTACCTTTGCAGCGATCAGAGTAAGCTGAGCACTACTGATGGTAAACCACTCACATACAACCAAGTCTAGGCATTTCATGTTAACAGGGCTGGGATCCCTCCTCCTTCCTTCCCTACTTCATCTAAGTGGGATTGGAGGTGGCATTAAAGATTGCTCTTGTTCCATGCAAACTCTGTTGGGTCTGGATTACCTGGGTAAAGGTCTGCCCGTCTAGATAAAAGAGAACCTCCTCCTACTTCCAACTCTAGAACAAGAAAATTAGTTTTTTCACCCAACATAATCTTGAAGATTACACATCATTCTATTAATTACTGTTCACGCTGGGAATGGGCCTGTGGTACTGAAGGGAGAAAACTACATTTTTATGATATGTCTGGCTGTACTATTTGAAATTTTTTTTTCCCAAAAGCATTTGTTATTTTGTAATTTAAAAAACCTTTAAAGGAAAATTTTATAAAGAATAAAACTTGGAGAACAGGGCTGAGTAACAGGAATAACACTCAGGTGGTTGTCTGAACTCCAGCCCTGCTCTCCACCACCACCACCATGAGCCTGCAAAAGGTTCAAGCCTCAGATAAGATTGCAGCCCTGCTGAAACCTTGACTACAGCTGGGAAAATCCTGAATAGAGGACTCAGCTAAGCCAGGCCCCAACTCCTGACCCCAGGAATAGCAAGATAATATACGTATGTTATTCTAAGTTGCTAAGTCTGTGCACTTTATTTTGTAGCAAGAGAAAACTACTACTCCATCTACGCCAAATTCCCAGGAACAGAGATTATACCCATGAGGTGGGATTTTCATGTGTATAAATGAAAAGTGGTTTTGAAACTTCAAATAAATGTGTTAATCAGTATTGTTTTCATTAACTTTACAATATTTTAAATCAAATATATGGTACTATATCTTGAGTATCTTTCATAAAAGTATCTAATCTCATCCTGGGAATCCTAATTCTAGTATTAACTTCTATAACTTAAGACAACTTTTCCTATACTTTTAAAGTAGTCACTCCTACAACTACAATTAGTTTAACATAAGATCTAAAAATTAGACTAACTCAGGCCCCTATATCTAGATGATCCCCAATCTTACAATTCAGATAGAAAACAAACTAAATTTACTGGTCAGCACCAAATATACTTCTCGTCAGAGAACAGACACCTTGGTTCTCTGGTTTCCAAATTTGTACTGGGCCTTGTTCTTGCCTAAATTGTAGCTTTCCTGTTCCTGAATAGAACCACAGTCCTGACCAGTCACCCTAAAAACAGAACATGTCTGGCCGGATCTCAGCTCTGCCATCTCCTACATCACAATAAAAGTCCACATGAAATCCTGCTACCATCCATCTGGCCTGGGGGCCGGGGAGGGGAGGCCGGAAGAAGGTCTGACAAAGGACAGAAAGCAAACAGAAAAGCAGTGCTCGGGAACGTCACGACCAGCATTTCCCAGCCATTGACCCCACGGAGCCTGTCAGACCAAACAGCATGTCCTGCAGCTGGGCCCAGCTTGAACCACACTCCGCCAAGATGGAGGAATAAAAAGCAAATAGAGTCTCTGACCCTGTGTGTTGCAGCATCACTTCAGCATTTCCCCCATCTCATCTCACCTGATCCTCCTCCATCTCCAACTGAATAGCCCAAGCCCTAACTGCGAAGACCACGTCAATATCTGCCACTGTCCCAGATTTAGAGACTCAACCAGGCCACAGATGGCTATGAACCAATCCAGTGCTATTTAAACAAGTGTGTCAACCCACCTCAAAGTGAAGAACAGATATTTCTGGAGCATGCAACTTACTCAAAGGGTTACAAGGGGTATATTAGTTCAAAACAACCCATCTGCACTAGAGAACAGTATAAAGCTTTGAATTACATTTGAAAGTAAACATTTCGGCAAAATTTCCCTGAAGCAGGACTTCGACCATGCTCCAGAGTTCCTGGGGGAAGCTGTTTACTCTTCTCTGCCATTAGAAGTTCACCAGCAGAAAAGTCTGAGAAGCAAGCCATTGGGCGCACTTGAAGCCTAGAACTCAAGTGACCAATTCTTCCCATGGACACATCCTTTAACATGACATCAACATCAAAAAAGCCACTTCATTACAGAACTCCCTACCAAACCGGTGAGGAGTTCACAGTGAGTGGGCTCCTCGGCATCCACTGCCCCTTTTCTCTTCTTAGTGTGTGAATAGATATATTTGGTTGGGAACCCACCCCCTCACATACAGCCTATCTACTTTGGAAAAATCTGGTTCAACTCCAATCTTAAACATCACTTTCTTAAGTCGCTCAGGTCATGCCATCTCCGGGCCACAGTCAATGGTTTGAGAAGGGAGTGTGACTCCGGCAGCCTAACCAAGGTAAATCTCAGGACTCTGACTTGGAATGCCAGAAGAGAAGCAGCACTGCCTCTTCTTCTAGCCAGCGCGATGCGGGAATGCAAAGCCTGGAATGCTGCAGCTGGTTTGCTACTATGAAGCCTCAGAACAAAGAAACAGCCAAGGAAGGCAAAGCAGACAGTAAGTCACAAAGTCCTTAGTGATACCACTGAGCCACTAAATCAAACCAATTGTGAAAGCAGAATGACTTCTGGATTTTCAGGTGAATAAATGTGGGTGTGACGGCTACTTGCAAAAAGCACATTCTAACACTACCTGACATTTCCAACTAACTCCAGAATGCCTTGCTCTATCCAGAGCTTCAGGTTTAGTACGACAGGATGACAAGGGAGTCTGCTTCCAGCGTCAGCTGCTACAGATCCAGAGGATCACTAGGGGTTGTGAATGTTCTAGAGAGTCGTAACTCATACCCAGGGGCAAAGCAATCCCTCACGAGAGCTCTGGGAAGATACAGACTATTTTTCATTTCTAAATATGTTGGGGGAGGGAGGAGAAGAGGAGATGGATGGCAGGATGTTAGAACTGAACCCCCCGATTTAGAGCTGGTTCACATAGGAGATTGCTGAGGCTATGGGTGTATCCAGATCCAGAGTTCAAAAGTCTGGGGCAAGGGTCTTCCTGTTCACTGGCCCCCTTATCAGACATAGCTCTAAACATACAAATTACTGTTCAATATGCTCACATGATGGATCATCCCTAGAGAGTCACCCATTTTTATAATATAAAATGAAGCTATAAGACCTTAAAAGATGTTTTTTTTTAACTGCATCTTCATTTTCTTGGAAAGAATTGAAAAACAGAGTGAAGCAGAAGACAGTAAAATGTTCCATGTCATATTAACTTAGCCTTGGGCATCAAGCTAGACAACTTTGCAGCAACCCATGAACAAAGGCAAAGCAGGAGTATTATCAGGATAAGAGCCAGAAATAGATTTCACCAGGGAAGAATACATGGCATGTGGGGCTGGAGAGTGTGGTAATCAAATTTATCATGCAGCTTTTTTTTAATTACAAAAGCAATATATGATTGACTTAAGTCCTACAATACAGAGGTCTAAAAGAGTAACCTTCCCTGTCCCCATGCCCTATCCCAACCCACCCCACTATGGTACCTGAAGGTAACATACCTGTCTCTCTGTACATACAAATATATACAAACATATGTACATATTCGTAAACCCCCATACACATCTTTTACAAAAGGATCATACTATACGCATTACTTTACAATCTCTTGTTTCACTTATAATAGAGAATGCCCAGCCCTCCAACATGAGGTGTTTGAAGTTACAAAACAAAGGCACACATCTCATGGAAACAGTAGCCCTGAATTATCATGAAAAACATTAATTGATATGAATATCTGGAAGCTGAAATCAATTTTCTGCTTTTGTTTTATAAACACAAAGGACGTTTAGAAAATAAAATTACATAGAGCTGAAATCCAGACATTTCGTCTGCTAAAGACTCATGAATGTTAACACTTGGCATTTTGTTAAAAAGGTGATTGTTTTATTTTTAGTGGCCACAACAAATCAGGTATTTGAATGCACGTAATGTTCTACTCTCCATCTTATTTTCAATTCATTTAAAAGTGAATTGTGCTTCTCAGAGCCAAAAAGAAAAATGATCGGTAACGTTAGTTACAATATAATTGATTCTGCCTATCTCCATCTCAAAGACCAATGTTTAAAGTCTGTCTTTTATTTGATATCAGAGCATACTTTCAATTAAAGCTGCAGAACCCTCAGCTTTCCCACCTGAAAGCAGAACTGCTACGCTTGGAGGGAAGGTGACACCAGGCAGTACTGCCAAGCCAAACAATGCCACCCCCTGCTCTGCAGCAGTGTTTTATACCTTTTCCATTTGGATCAGCACTTTAAATAATCGCATCTCTGAACTGTAAACACATTTCAGTTTAGTATCCAGTTATCCAATTAAGACTCCAAAAGCAGTATTCACAGGCCTCTTGTTACCATCAACCTTCCCCCACCTCCACCAATACAAAGTGAGAAGAATGAAAAGGTCAATTCCTAGAGGATGACTACTATCTCATAAATACATTACTCAAAATCATCCTTGAAACATGTTTGGTGCTGTGGTCTCAATGTTTCTATCTCCCTAAAGTTTATATATTGAAAGCTAGTCACCAATGTGATGGTTCTAGGAGGTGGGGCTTTGAGAGGTGACTAGGTCATAAGGACAGAGCTCTCATGAATGGGATTAGTGCCCTTATGAAGGAGTATTCCTCTTCCACCATGTGAGGACACAGTTAGAAGGCGCCATCTGTGAGCCAGAAAGCAGGTCCTCATCAGACACTGAATATGCCAGCCCCTTCACCGTGGACTTCCCAGACTCTAGAACTGTTGAGAAACAAATTTCTGTTGTTTATAAGCCACCTAGTTTATGGTATTTTGGTATCGCAGCTCCAACAGATAAAGAGAGTTGGCTATCTAGAAAAGAGAGCTATCTATGATATAAAATAATATAGCTCATAATTTGCATATAATTTTACAAAATATATTAGTTCCACAAAAGTTATAACTGATCCTACTTGTATCACTGTATTATCTCTTTTATTTATTTATACTTCCTCCCTAGAATGATAAACAGAAAAATATTAAGCATGCCCAATAATCCAGTTCTTCTCCATGCACAGATGCACATTTTAAAAAGGAGGAAAGAGAACTCAGGAAGTGAGGCAGAGTCCACTAAAACTACTCCCATCCAAAACATTCTGTTTCCTTCTCAGCTGCAGGTACAGGGAATCAATGCCTCATTTCTTTGGTTTAGTTAACAGTACACCTTTACTTCTGCAGATGCTTTATGCAAACTCCAGAAAAGCTGCATATAAATGTATTTTTTATTCATGTTTTTAAAATATTTAGAGAACTTGACCCTGTGAAATCCTTTATAAAGACTTTTTACAACAGGAAATTTTCTCCTATTATAGCATATACATATTTATGCTTCTGTTTATGTATATGGCATTAGACTTTTGTACAGTAGGACATGACTATAGCCAAATCTTCAGGGACCAATTACATATTTTTATCTGATAATCTGCTCCTGTCCCTACTAACTACAAATGTCGAGAAAGTTCATGTCTTTTTTGACAGTTTACTGCCTTGCATTTCAATGAGTAGCTTCTCCCTGATTAGACTTTGTTAATCTTATGAAGGTATCCAAGAAGATGCCTATGGATTTCAAAATTCCTTCTAAATTCCTCAGAGGGCAGTATTCTGCTTGCTTTAGAATGCCCCCAACACCCACTACAATACTTGCACACAGTTGATCACAGAAAGCAGACTGACTTGTCTAACCCACATTACTCATGGGCTAAATCAGTAAAAACTCAACTCTTTCTGAGGGTATAAAGCAAATACTGCTGGACTCAAACAGAGAGAAAAAAGAAAGAAGAGTCTGAGGAAGAAAAGACAGCTCTCTGGCACAAAATACAAAGTCTAAACATTACAGATGACCTTCGTGTGTACTTACGTATATTTCACTGTGGTCAAAGCGCTTCTTGAGGTTGTTGATGAAGGTCTCCTCATTGAGAGGTTCTAAAAGAACCATATCCCCAACTCCAATCATATTGTCCAGAAGTGAGGTTTTCACCTCCATTTTGGCCATGGTCTCCAGCTGCAGAAGAGAGGGAAAGGGGTCAATTTAAACGAGCAAAATAATTTCAAATAGGTTCTTGGCACTACTGCAGAAATCCAACACTGGTAGCTCCAAATGACTCTCACTAGCCTTAAAAAATGTCATAACCTCTCCTCCCTATGAACCACATCAGGAGCCTCTGACTTGGCTGCAGCTGCCCCATTTGCCAACCTGCTGCCACAAATGAACCTCCTTCCCAGTCCATCCTCCCTGGTGAAGTCCACCTACAGAAAAAGCCACTAGAAAGCCATGGTCTTCTCCTCAGCAGAGAGTCGCAAAACTCCAGGGGGAGGAAAAAAAACCTAACCCACCCCTACTTTCCCTCAGCCCTTGTGTACCAATGTCAGACTATATGAACCTGCTTCCTCGAAGATGATAAAAAATGATGCTGCTAACATTTGTTGTTTACTTGCCACATATCAGACACTATACCAAGAACTTTACATTAATTGAACCCTCACAATAACTCTATGAGGTAGGTATTGTCATTCCCACTTTAAGATAAGAAAATTGAAGCTCAGAGATTATGAAACTTGCTATGGTTACTTAAAAATGTTTTGCATTTGATGTGAAAGAACTCAATTACCACGTCTAACATGGCATCTATGGGAGGAAATTTCATTCCAGACAATCAATACTGACATATAAAGAAAAGAACACAACCCACTTGTAAATCACAGGCTACCAGTATAACATAACCTGATAAAAGTGGCCTCTACGTTTTTAATTCTTGTACCAACAGACATGCCACTATAACAGCAGAATCAAATTAACACGCAGTAAACAGACCAGAAATACTACAGTTTCCCTTTGGTTCAATGTGAAAATCTACCAAGTGGAAACAGAGGCACGCTACAAAGGCAGCATTCTACCCTGCTACTAATGTGCATGGTGCCACCCAACAGCAGAATGGTAATCCCCAAGGCTTCCAATCTGATCACTGTCAAGAGTACTAAAAATCTTTCAAATTTCTGAGCATAGGAGTGTGTGGGATATGTGTGTATGCACACATGTGTCTGTATTATTTTTCCTAATATTACCAGAACTAAATGGTAAAATGGTAAAACTAAATTCATCTGGGCCATTCTCTCTAAATGTTTCTAATGTAGAAGCCAGTTTTATATAACTTCAGTGTGCTGATACTCAATCACACTTCAGAATACTAATAAATACTTACATATATACCTGCCACTGATAATGAGTGGAAAGGACATTTGATTCTTCCTATTAAGGAGTCACTTCGGCACACTATGTCTTATAAAGGTTGGTGTCCTTACTGAAATCTCAGCAACTTAAACAAATGTCCCCCACTTCTAGTCTAGAACATCCAGTAGGTCTTGTAGAAGCAGCAGAAACTACATTTAGTTGGTCTGGTTTAAAGAGAACTAGGAAGGGCTAGTAATTAAGAAATTCATTATTATTAATTACTAGCAATTTATATGAACCCACAAACATATCCTTTTTTACTGATCCTATTAAAACAAGTTTTTGGCTATGAAAAGCCAAAAAAGAGAGACTAAGATGAATTTATGAGAGGTTCTCCCATAAATAAAATAAGGAAGTATTTAACACTAAAAAGAAAAACAATAGAGTAACTTTTTTGTTACTGTATGTTTTTTATAATTTTAAGCCAAATACACCTGGAACAAAAAGTCCCAGATAGGCCAGGTGCGGTGGCTCATGCCTGTAATCCCAGCACTTTGGGAGGCTGAGGCAGGTGGATCATGAGGTCAGGAGTTCAAGACCAGCCTGGCCAAGATGGTGAAACCCCATCTCTACTAAAAATACAAAAATTAGCCGGGCATGGTGGCAGTGCCTGTAATCCCAGCTACTCAGGAGGCTGAGGCAGCGAACTGCTTGAACCTGGGAGGCAGAGCTTGCAGTGAGCCGAGATTGCGCCACTGTAATCCAGCCTGGGCAACAGAGTGAGACTCTGTCTCAAAAAAAAAGAAAAGAAAGAAAGAAAAGTCCCAGATACCACTAAAACTCAACAACGTCGGCCCAAAGAACTGCTCTGTATATTTTGAAGTTGGCTGGGCTCTGTTTCAGAACAAAACTGATGAGGGTGGGAGGCACGTGCCATGCTATGGAAATGCAGCAGGAGCCACAGAGACGGTGAAGCCAGAGCCAGAGTCCACAGAAGGACTTGCACAGGGAGAGGACCATTTGTCACAATAAATTTGTCCACAATAAATTAACATTTGAATCAAAGTTCAAGTTCTCAGGCTCCATGTAATGCCAAAAGCACTCTAGCTGCCATGCATTACATATAATTTGGCAGATGAGGGAAGAAGGCTTAGGGATTAAGGGGGAAGTCAACCTGAGAAGGGTTTCAAAAATAACTACCTCAAACCAGCAATTTAAATTAAGCAAAGAGGAACTCTGCCCTGGGGTGGATTCCTGTATATAGTCTATTTATAGGAACAGCTGCAGAAAGACAACACAGCTTCCCTGCAGGTAACAATAATTAAGCAGCCAATCTTTCTCTGTAATTACCCGCTTCACCATCTTTTCCAATGTGGAATTTATATCTAATTTTTTACACCTCATCCCAACTTTCTAATCCAAAGAGGAATAGAGTGCAAAAGAAATGCTGAGTTACAGGTAACTGGTAAACAGTGAAGACCTCTGAATATTGTATTTTGCAAACCAAAATACAATAAAGCAAGCCACAGTGAAAAGGTGACACCAAGAGTCATTGAATCATGCAAACAGTTTTGCTTTGTTTTGTTTATCTTTTTAGCATTTAGGGACACTGGGAGAAGATCCAGTGACAGCCTACCTCATTCTCAAGGTAAAAATAGGACACTAAGGAAACGGTGTGGGGGTATTTCCATATCTTCTTATGGTGGTTTCTGGTATTGTGACCACCATCTCTAGCCTTGGTTTGGTTCACTTTGACATGTCAATGAAATTAGTTCATGTATTTGCTCCACCAAAAGGATCCATTTGTTTTTTTCTCTGAAGGAGCTATGTGCTTACCATGGGCACAAGTTTCAGAATCACTTGCTAACTCCACATTTCCATAAACCATTAGAAGAATTCGCATGGGGCTCTAGGGAGAATTAAATGAGAATGTATGTAGAGCACTGGGGATACTTTTTGTTGGACACATACTGTTATAGATCTACCTCCTCCCTTCCAAGAGCCCTCACAAGGAATCCATGCTGTTCTGGGTACCAAAAATGAACATGTGATCTAGGCTAAGTCAATCAACATATTCTCATCTTCTAGCCAGTGTAACTGATTCAAGGCTGGACACGTGACTGAGCTTGAGACTGTGGCTTCAAATACCAGGACAAAGGTTCTCTGTCTCTGGATGGCGTGACTTGCAGACGTGACACTTGGAACTACTGCAGCCATCTCTACTTTCATGAGGAGGGTTGGTAGGAAGAGGAAGACGACACATGGAGGAGGACAGGGCAAGAAAATTACCTAGAATTGGCCAGGCGCGGTGGCTCACGCCTGTAATCCCAACACTTTGGGAGGCCGAGGCAAGTGGATCATTTGAGGTCAGGAGTTTGAGATCAGCCTGGCCAACATGGTGAAACCCTGTCTCTACTAAAAATACAAAAATTAGCCAGGCGGTAGTGGCACACCCCTGTAATCCCAGCTACTCAGGAGGAGGTTGAGGCAGGAGAATTGCTTGAACCCAGGAAGTGGAGGTTGCAGTGAGCTGAGATTGCACCACTGCACTCCAGCTTGGGCAACAGAGTGAGACCCTGTCTCAAAAGAAAAAAAGAGAAAAAGAAAATTACCTAGAATTATTAGTACTGGAGCCTGGATGACATCCCAAACCTCTGGATCAAACTGCACTTGAAGCTTGCTCCCATCTCTCAAGTTTTCAGTGATGTAAGCCAATTAGTTCTCTTTATTGTCTAAGCTGTTTGAGTTGTATTTTCTATTATTTGCAACAAAAAGCATTTTACCTAGTAAGAGACTGGTACCAGGAAGTGAAGTGTTCTAAATAATACACCAAAAAGCAAAAACTGGCTGATCTAAGGCACAGGCATGAGGACCTGCTGTCTTGGACTGACAAGATGATCATCTTCGCTATTTAATAGTGAAATAGTGGACTAAACCATGGCCCGTGGTATCTTGAGACTTGGACCTTTATGCCTGTGGCATTAGAGAATTTGAAAAAAATTCAAGATGCCAGAGTATGGGTTGGTTATTTCTTAAGGATTTACAAGAAAAAGATAAGCTTGCTGTGAAACTGGACTGTCTGAAAGGCCAGAGAGGAAAACATATGGCACTGCTCAGAGGGCTCACTCTGCCTGGAGGTGGGAGACATAGAGATGTAACCTATCCCAAGCACCACCTCTGCCTCTGTGGCCTGAGAAAGAAATAAGCACTTCTGCCATGCAGATGTAGCCCAGGAGAGGTGCCACCTCACTCTACTGCTTCTTACGCTTCTTACTAGCCCCAGGTGGATTCTACTACCAAGAACTATGGCAATCTGCAAAGTACCAAGGCCAGGAAAGAAATTATCAGACCATGTTCTAGTTTCAAAACTTTGGGACTTGGCAGTATATTCAGTTTGGGCTACTAGTCCAGAAAAGCAGTCTCTCTATCTAAGGGTACCAATTTAGGCCAGCCACAAGCCTGCCAACTGGTGCCAGGCAACTCCACAGGCTGTGCCAGTTCTTTTCAGCTCTCTGTCCATCCAAGAAGAACAAAATATATTATTGCAATTGTTCCTTCCCCTATCTACTCTCATCTCAAGAACTTCCAAAATTACTACCTGTATTTCAACATACACTAATTCATTTACTGGTATCTTTTGCAAAGTTAAAATACCGTTTAAAATACTGACAGCAGCATTTCAAAAGTTCCTCAAAATCCAAGAGAATGCAGCATAAACAACCTATAGCATCTGAAAATGGCCATCTGTGACCTACCACGTAAACTTAATGAGTCTACCCAATCACTAACCTTAAATTGCAAGCCACCTACCATATGTCAACATCATCTGCACTTGGGAATGTCAAGACCAACATAGCCCCCCAACACACAGAGATGGCTACACAAAACAGCACATCCAGCATGGTAATTCCACTATTCAATATCAAAATGGTACTACAAAGGAGTTATTCCAAATTAATAATTAAATAATAACTAAGAGGAGATGGATGATAAGTTAAAATAAAATTCATCTTATCTCGTGCTCCTCCATTGAATTTGAAGTTCTCAGAGTACCACAGATAAGAACAATGTATACGTTGAAACACTTTTATCGTAGAATTTGAAAGAATATTCACAAATCAGAGCTGAGGTTGCAATGATTAATAAGAATATTAAATCACTAACATGGTTTTAAATTTGAAGGAACTTCTTTTTTTTTTTTAGATTTAAATAGAAAGAAGATCTTGCTATGTTGCCCAGGCTGGTCTCAAGCTCCAGGTTTCAAATGATCCTTCTGCCTTGAAGTTCCAAAGTGCTGGGATTGCAGGCATAAGCCACTGCACCCAGCCTAAAGGAACTTTTAAAACAAAGCCAAAAGAGTTACTTGCAGGAAAACTTAGTGAAAGCAGTTATCTATTGCTTTGGTAATTGTAAATGAGGACATTTAAAACACATATATTATAACATCATTAGCAGTATAACAGCATTAGCAATATACACCAGAGACAGCACCTACAGGGATTCTTCTTCGCATAGTAACAAGTGTGTTTTATCTGACTCCAGTTCCACTCATTAACCTCCCTGTATAGTGGTCATGTATGCATGACAGCACCTTTTCTAGAAAATCAGCTCTTTGGTGTCAAGAATCATGCCTTATTCATCTTTATTTCCTGAAAGCACAGTGCACAGCCTCTTGCACATGGTAGCCATTCAGTGATATACAAAGGGAAAACAAGTATGCAAATTTCCGATTGACAACTGAGTCGTACAACAATGCACGTCCTCACAGCTGCCATCCTTTGGTTTGGTCACAGCAGACCAGAAGGCAAAACAATGACAGTGGCTTCAAGCCACTTTGATCCATTCCTCCAAAAACATATTATCAACAAAGGGCAGGAAACAGAATTGAGCTACTTGGCTCCCAACAAGATCACTAATGCTTTTAAGAATAGCATGAGAAACATATTTAGGTAAGAAAATGGAGCCAATGTGGCAAGATTTCATGAACACAGTAACTCTCAGCAAATCCTGATGGCAAAACAAAGGCAAAAGAGGAGCCAAGTCTGTAGGATGTGGTTCAGTACCTAATATAATGAGCTAAGGGAGTCAGAAAAACTGGAATTTCCTTCCTAGATCTTTTAAAATAGCACCGAATCTCATCTCTCTGAGAGGGGTTAGATTAAATTTCCATTCAATTCAGTTCAACCAGCTTTTACAGTATTGAGGCCTGTTGTGCTGCTGGCATGGTGTAAAGTGCTAAGAACACAGTGAACATCGTGGTACCTCCCCCTCCCTGCATCACCCTCTAGGAACTCACGGTCCAATAGAAAAGTCAAGAAAATAGGCCACTTTTGAAATTTTCAAGGAACTTTTTAATAATTAAAAGTAATACATGTTCACTATAGAAAAAAACTAGAAAATATAGATGAGCAAAAAGACTATAAGCCAAATTCAACATCCTTATGCTTCGGTCTAAATCCTTTTGAACTTATTAGAATCCTTTTGAAAGCTCCTTTTTACAACCAATGAATTGGCCACCTTTCCTTGTTTTGTAAATTTTGATATGTTGTCTCAAGGTAGGAATGTGACATCATTCCTCAGGAGCTGAAATTGTGGCGCTGCATCCATAATGCCCCCACCACTTTTAAATTCAGCCAAATTGCATGGCCATCTGCTCCTTTATTCTTACCTTCTCCTTTACCCCAAATTAGCAACCCATATTATCGACAGCCTGCCTACCAATCATCTCTACCACTTGGCTGTGTCTAACAGCTCAACACATTTCCAAAATTTGTATCAATCATCCCACACCAAAATATAAAAAACAAAACAAGAAAAATCTTACTCCCTCTAAATTCCACAAAATAACAATTGATCCATCCAGGTTCTCATCCTTGGCTTCTCCCTGTCTCTTCCTTCCTTCCCACATATCCAATCTGTCTCACTGACTGTATCACCTTGATTAAGCTCACTTCTATCCCTTCCCCTCAAGAGCTTTCTAAGGGGTCTCTCTGCCTTGTCTCGCCACCACAGCCTTGCCAGCCCTTTCCTTTTCCCCAGCCCACACCACCCAAGTTACTTTTTCAAATCACAATCTGATTAGGCATAACCTGCTTCAAACCCTTCAATAACTCTCCAGTGCCTTTCAGCCAGCATTATGATTCTTTAGCAGAGCCTCCAACAAATTAAACACAGACTCCCTACGTAACCGAGAAATTCCACCTCTGGGTATATACCTAAAAGAAGTGAAAGAAGGCACTCAAACAGATGTTGGTACACCCATGTTCATAGCAGCATCATTCACAACAGCCAAAGGGTATAAGTAACCCAAGTGTCCATCAATGGATGAATGGATAAACAAAATATGGTACATACACAAAATGGAACATTACTCAGCCTTAAAAAGGAAGGAAATCCTGATACATGCTACATCAACGAACCTTGAGGGCACTAAGTTATGTGAAATAAGCCAGTCCCAAGAGTAGAAATATACGATCCCACTTATATAAGGTACACAGAAAAGTCAAATTCATAGAGACAAAAAGAATGGTGGTTACCAGGGGCTGGGAGGAGAGAGTAATGAGGAGGTGCTATTTAACGGCTACAGTTTTAGTTTGGGATAATGAAAAATCTCTAGAGATAGTGGTGATGGCGGCACAGCAGTGGGAGTGCACTTAATGTGACTAAACTGTACACTTAAAAAAGGTTAAAATGGTAGATTTTATGTTATGTATATTTTACCAAGTTAAAAAAGAAATTCCTTAGCAGAGAACACATGATTCCACAGCCTTTCTCCTTAGTCCAATCTCTCCCCTGCACAGTCCCCACTTACACACACACAAAGATGCCAAGGCCTGCCACAGCACCTTCAGCCAGACCACAGCTAACTGAGTGGTGGGTATACACCAGCCCAAACAAAGCTTCCAAAGATCTGCCAGCAGGACACAGACACCACAGTCAGGTGGCTGTGGGCAGCAGAGCATGGAGCTCATAGAGATCCAGGGAACAGCTATCATGCGGGTGAACCTTCCCAGACTCCTCCAGAGGAAGCCTATCTGAAGAGAAGAATGAAGCATGGTGACAGACCATGGCAGGCAGACAGAACAGCTGCCTTTGCTGCCCAGAGTGGTTCTAGCTGTAGGCCCTCGAGAGGTTCCACTGAGCCTCTTGTCAGACATAAATACCCCCCAACTTAAACCAGTGTCAATAACCATTCCTCATAGGAGACATGCTGTGAGCAAGCCAAATCTTACGGACTGAATGCTTGCGTCCTCCCAAAATCTATTATGTTGAAGCCCTAGCCCCCAGTATGATGATATTTGGAGGTGGGTCCTTTGGAAAGTAATTTGGTTTAGATGCAGTCAGGAGGGTGAGGCCCCCATGAAGAGATTGGTGTCCTTATAAGAAAAAAAGAAACCAGGGTTCGCTCTTTCTCTGTAGTGTGAAGACACATCAAAAAGGCAGCCATCTGCAAGCCAGGAAGAGGACCCTCACCAGAAACTGAATCTACCAACAACTTGATCTCCCACTCCGCAGCCTCCAGAACTGTGAGAAATAAATGTCTGTTCTTTAAGCCACCCGGTCCATGGTATCTTGTTACAGCAGCTCAATCAGACCAATATGCCAAAATACTTCCCTTCCCTCACAATTGTGAGTTTGTTTGTCTGCTCTTCCCCTGGAGAAGGGAGGTTTAAGTTCTCAATGTGCACAAGCCCCATGCCTAACAGCGTGGCTGACACACAGGGCTCTGGTGTGTAGAAAGAAAATGAATAAATAAATGCATATTAGACAGGCACAGCCCATTCTTCTGTCCAGGACGGTTTCCATCATCGCTACCCTTCCACTCCAGGTCATAACTGGCAAAGGACCATCAGAGAGCCTCGATGACACACCAGGAATGTCCTCATGAAGGATTAAAGTTAGAAACCAAAGGACAAGACACTTCCTTAGTATTTACCAACCAAAAACGCAAACTGGGTGAAAACTGGATTCTATAGGACAATTTACTCAAGCAGCATTATTCTCAAAGGTGATGGGGCTGGTGGGCCACACAGAACCACACGGGGTGCCCTGCAGGGCTCCCTAAAGCATTGGAGAAAGTGAGTGCCCCGACATGCATTTGTGGAAAGACTTAGGTGATGGCTGATTTTCATTCCTACCTACACACTTGCTTAAAGATATTTATATAAGGTGTGTCTATTCATGGCATTTACCTCACCAATTATAATTCTCTCATTTTCCAATCCTTAAATTCACTGTGAAAGCCAACTATATATTGAGAAACCCCTCACCTCATTTTCTCTAAAGCTTTCTGCTGAAAATGTCTAATGGAATGCTAGTAGGAGGGCTTTTGTTAAAATCTTGGATTATGGAAGAAATAGGCACAACTACTGGGCAATTTCCATATAGTATGTTGTTGACTTGTGTTCAAATTCTGGCTAATACAAAGGACATGAAATTACCAGGCAATGAAGAAATCCAATAGATTTAAACAGGAAGTGAAAACAAACAAATGGATAAAAGCAAATGGAAGCCCATTTGCCATACCTGACTCCAACCTTAAAAAGCTGTGAGTGGGAGGGGCTATTAATTCAACATTCTGGTTATCTAAGGGTTAACACCCTAGGTTTTGTCTCTGCATAGGCAGAGAGGGACAGGCACCACCAAGATCAAGGTCTGTTTCTGTCTGAGTATAGAAAAGCTGGCCTTACATCAATAAAAGTCATCAACAAGGAGATACCCTTAATCAACCACCCTCAATCCCAGGCACAGGCCAGTGATTAAGGACTGAAAGACAGCATCTAGAACCTTACAATTTGCAAACTGACGAGAGGGAAAAAAGTTTTTTCCCAACTGTGTAAAGTGAGAATGACAAAATATACCATCTAGACTAATTAGAAGAAATTGAGTCAAAAATAACAGCGGCTGCTATAACAACATGGAAGGTTTTGGATTACCAGTTACCAACTCTCACTTGTGACGTAAGGGCAAAATTTCTAAGTGCCTTTGTTTATAATTAAAGAGCAAGGAGAGAGACCTTAGAATCCCAGGCAAAACCTTCCTTTAAAAAAGAAGGCGGTGGAGCCAGCTGGTTTCTAGAAGAGCCAGGGCGAGGATGAAGCTTTTCTGACGGGTCTGAAAATGGTCTTTCACACCTATTCTATTACATATACCCTTCAGTCTAATTCCTAAATCACCAAGCTCTTCACAACACTGCACCATTTTTCAAAGAGTTTTTGCTTCTATATTACAGAAGGCTTGCAGCAATAGTTTACCACCAAGGATCCTTTCGATCCACCCCATTGTGGTACGGCACAGGCTGTGGAGCCACAGACCCAGGCTGGAATCCAAAGGAATTCATCTCTGGAATTCAAATTTCTAATCTAAAAACTCAGGGATGACAATATCTATTCCACAGGGCTGTTATGTAGCCTGACTGAGAGAGCAAACTCATTAGATGAATTTCTCCCTCTCCAATGCCCCTTTCTTCTTCTCACCCTGAAGAGCTTACCTACTCTTCTGTCCTGTCTCCTAGCAGGTGTGTCCAGGTAACTAACCTAGTGAGTTACCTCATTTGCAGTTGATCTTACATGAGGTTTAACACCCTAAGGAGGAAATGCAGCCAACACCACTGTCCCTACAGTCATTTCCCGGAGGAAGCTCTACAGAGTCATGGCAGGAATGGCTGCCAAAGGGCAGGTCAACTTCAGAGAGCACACACCCCACTCCAAGGCTGGGTCTGAAAGTCATGCCCTGCCTCCCTCTCCACCCCCTCAACATGGACCCCCCACCTGCCACAACCCTAGAAGGTCCAGAATGGGCAGCATGCAGCCCAGCTGTAGGGGAACCGGTCGTCATGCTATACAGCTCACAATGACTGGAGAATTAATGAGCTAACGTCTGAAAAAAGGCTACAAATTCCTGAGGGACGAGGCAGCCAAAAACTATAAACCGCTGTTACATCCAGAAACACAAACTCAGCTGTACAGGGGAACATGCTAATTATAACGCACGGACTTTTCAATGCGTTCCTTCGAGGCAGATTTTAAAAATTCCAAGAAGTCAATGTGTTTAGATTGGCAAACCTGAGACCCCGGAACCCCTAAGTGAACGTAAAACTGTTCAAATATAACTGGCACACCCGACTCTGATTTGTTCCTGGTGGGTGCACAGACGCCAAGAAAGACTGGTGATTACTGAATTGAATATAGCCACCAGAGGAAAACCAACTTCCCTTCCAAATGAATCAGCTTATTAATCAGAGGGTCTCAATCTCATTCCATGTGCTAAGATCCTCAACAAAGTCTTACACCACTTGTAGATTCATTCCTCTGTTCTCTTTATGCCTGATCGGATCATGCAATCACTCAAGGTACACCTTCATTATAATTAAAAATACAGTGATTTGCACCTGGTAGGCACTCACATAGGGTTTCCTCTACCCATTAGTTTTGGAGGCCACTCCGGATTGGTTCTGAACAAAGACACTCACATAAAACAGCCTGGGATACACTATGGCAGAATGGCCTTCTTTAAAAAAAAAAAAAAAAAAACAGGGGCCTTCCCATCGTTCAGGCTCTTTTAGTGACAATGGAGAGAAATGTACTGAATTTAGTGCACTATTCTTGTTTGTAGGTTAAGGAAGAAAATTATCCCTCCAGAAAACAACAGCTTTGGCATTCTGCAACAGATCATAGGTTACAACGACTACTGCAGTGGTTCTGGAAAAAACATCCACAAGATCCAAGTTGCAGGCCCAGCTCTGCAGCTAGCTCACAGTGAGACACTGGGCACACTGCCACCTTCAAGCCTCAGTTTCCTCACAAAGCGTATAACACATCATCTCCTAGGATCTTGTCCCAGCTTCCAACGCTGTTGATTCAACAAAAAAAAACAAGGCTCAACTCTGGAAAGACTGAGTTTGCTCATTCTGGGATGAGCATGCATCCTAGATCTGGTTATAGAGAATGTTAAAAACCAAAAAGCCAGCAAATGCCAGACCACAAGAATCTCTCTCAGTGACATTACTCAGAGGCAAAGGAAAGCAGCTCTCTTTATTCTGATCTCATAACCAAAATAAAATATATTAAGAGTGCAACCATACACAGCACAGAAAGATGCACAGAATAACCAGGTAAGTTAGGCCATCAAGGCACATTTGAGCATGTTTTCTGTGTGTTTACAATACATGGTTAGCTACAAAATGGAACTGGCTACTTTTAAAAATTCACCTAGTTAGGAAAGCAAAAAAAAAAAAGTCTAAAGATTACAAATTAAGTAATCTACATGTAAAGGAGGGGAAAAAATATGCATCACTCAACAGTGAAGCTTTGGTAATGCCTTCATACTCAAGGTTTAAAAAAGTTTTTTAGAATAATAAAAATTCAGAAGCTTCCTCAAGCAGTAATCCACTAAAATAAAGTCCAATAAACTATGTAAACAAAGGCAGAGATATTTATACATTTACATTAGGATTTCATGAATGTTTATTAGTTGAGAATTGATCAAACAAAAATAGCTAAGATGTTCCAAAAAAGACACTGATAATGTAAATTGAGAAATAATTTTTAAAGAAAATAGCTAAACTGCTGCAGTGGGTTATTTCACCTACACTGATTAAAATCAACAATTATATTAGAATTTGGAAACATTTTCTAGGTCAATTTCTGGTTTTTCTAATGTTGGAAGCATTCCTTTTAAAATCAAAGGCACCATAATTCTTACATATCCTTAAATACATTCTGAAGTATTTATGAAGAACAAAAGACACTACAAACAAATCAACCTATAAGACATGCCATAACTAATCATTTTTAAGTCACAAATAAAATGTTTACTGAAATTTTTGTTTATAAAATTCACATTTATAAATGTTAACTAAATTTGAATAGTTCTGCTAATTTCCAAATATTCTACAGGATACAGCAGTTACTTCATATATTTATATAAGGAGACATACTGACAACACCCCCACACACAGTTTTTTCTCCTTGAATACAGCACATGTTAATAACCTGTAAAGCTATAGGAAAATCCATTTTTAAAGTTAATTACCTTGACCACGTATGGAGCAATAAAACAAATTTTCCCAAGAAAAGTTTTGGTAAGAAATAAAACATACAATAGTGAACTACCTTGTAGAAACCCGATTAAGAAAAGTTAACTTCCTTCTACAAGTAGTTTATCAAAAAAGGGGCTTTCAAAATACATTATTATATTATAAATCATCAAAACTTAAAATTTACATTTCTACCCTTACGTCTGTCTCTCAATAGGTGGGTAGAAAAACTAGAGTTCTTTTTAAATGACAAAATTATAAGGCCCCTCTGGTTTAGAAATTAAAACTGCTTACCAACTTTTCTTCTCCATTGCTTTTTCCACTGATTTAACTAGCACTTTAGCCTTCAGTTCATATGAAAGAGAGAGACAAACATTCGTTGTGACAGGGAGAACACACTAAGTACAACAAATATTTTGCAAGCAGATAAGAAGGGGAAAGTAGGTCAATATCCTGTGGCTAGGAAGAGGCAGCCTCAGCTTCCATACAGGGCTGTTTTATATGAGTTAATCATATAAAGTTGATCGAGAGTCCATCATGGATACATGCTGGACTCTTCTGTTGACAACCTCCCACTCTGACCCATGCTACTGGTATACAAACAGTACTTAGCAGGCAATGAAAGAAGAAAGAATGAGAGACACATCTACTGCTTCTCATGCATGTGCAATCTAACTGAGGAAAGAATACTTAAGAGTAAGATAACCAGTATAATATGTTCATATAGGGCAGGCGATTCACCTCAAAAGGAGGAATATAGAGATGAACATTTCTGTTTAGAGGTACAGCTACTATCATACAGCAGGAGAATCACAGAAGGATAGCTGAAGAGGTGAAACTCGACCATGAAAGGTGAGTTGGATGTGATTAAGCAGAAAAGAAGTTTAAAGCAAGAATAAAAAACATATTCAGAAGACGGTGACCTGGCAGAATGGTAGCAGAGGACGGCCGGTATAGGAGCCTGATGAACAATGAAGCTGGGATGAAAGGTAAGCCAAGGCTAGACTAGGAGTCAGACCTAAGGAGCTCACAGGTGTTAGAGTGGTGGGAATGGGTGGGCGGGGAGAGAGAAGCATTACATAGCCTAACCAGCGCATCTGTGCTACAGTCATTACTTATGTCACACATCAAGATGGCAACAACTAAGGCTCAGAGTCACTGGTGATGGTCCCATGGAAGATAAAACTGAGGTCAGCCACTACATACAGATGACAGGGAGCCACCAAAATGATTTTGAGCACAATAGAGACAACAAATTTAAAGGAGGCTTAAGCAGAGGATGGGCAGTCTGAATTTGTTGGCAAAGCGACTAAATGCAGGGAGGAGGACTGCTCTGTGCAGTTGTTCAGTTTGTGTACTGCATAAAAGTGGGCCAGCTGGGGAGGAGGGGGGGCGGCAGAATAAGGTGACTAAAATAAAGTTGAGCTCCTGTGGGATTGTGTCTGCCCCAAAGAGTGCCTTTTTCTCACTGCATACAGGCCCTATACAAGACAGTATATCAAGGAATTCATCTGGGGCCCCAATCTAGTAGTTGAGGAACAAGAATTAGGATAATGCTAATGGAAATGAAAAGGAGATGTGCCAAGGGAAATCACAGATGAGTCTATCATAAAAGGTGGGAAACTAATTTGACAGAGGTGGAAGAGAGACAGGAGCGTTTAAGACTAAAGTAGAGGTTCTCTTATCCAAATGCATAAGGATTGACAATTTGGCTTATTTTTTTTTAAGTCAGTTAAATTTGGAAGTCATAAAAAATGATACATACCTAAACAAGTCATTTTAAATGAAGCTCTACAAATATACATTTATTGTCAATCTTTTGTTATAGTGCTGGAGCCTTTTCTTTGAGTATATGTCCACTGTTGTACTCAATGGTCTTTCTTCTATAAACCATCCCAAGGCATCATCCTCCAAGTCCAATTTATTTAAAGAACAGTGAGGTTCTAAAGAGCCCTGGAAAGTGAAGTGCGGTAGACCTCATTACCCTTTACAAATGCCCCATACCCCTCTCTACGTCCCGCCTTGCTGAATTCAGGCATATAGCCAATAAGACCTTTGCAGCAGGCGTCCCCTCTGCCACAGGGACCAGCAACGTTCCAGAAGGTACTGCCCCATCAGACTGTGTTCTGGAGTAAGGTTAAGGACAAATGGAGCAGAGTCCCCATCTGATCCACAACGGACACACAGTGTGAACATGGGTTACTGCTTTGAGCCAGTACGATTATCGAGTTTTACATAATCACAACTTAACCCACCAATCATGAATGACTGATAATATCAGTGAGGATACTTTTATTTTATGATCCCCCAAATTTTTTACTTATCTCAGCCACTCCTAAATTAGCTGCAGTCATTTATGGAAATTCATTCTTATCAGGTGATTTCCAAAGAATTCAAATGAATTTTCATAGAAACAACAATTCTTTTGGCACACATGTTTAAAATCATTGTATTAAACTATAATAAGTACACCGGGCACACGCAGGTCTGGGAATTAACACAGTCAGGTCTGGAGAAGCATTCTTCTCAACTGGTGGGAAAAGAAACTCAAGAGCACACTACAGGGTAGCCCTCTAGCTTGGAGCATTAGTGTATCTATGGCATCGGCTGATCCACTTTACAGAGAAAAAGAGAACACCAACAAATCCAGCAAGTCTGGAAGTCAATAAAAGCTTAGACTGTTTTCTAAAGCTGTGAGTCTGGACAATCATAAGAATGAATAGTACTATGGTATTACCAGGTTAAAAATCTGGTTGGCTTTTCAAAAGTATATCCAACTACCATATTTATTCTGATCCAAATATATAGTCATAAGTGCTTAAGTCATTTAGGAAAGCACAAAAATAACACTTCAAATCCACAACCAGACATAGAGTCAAGAGTACAAGGTCACATGTCATTCTATAACTTGGCTCTTAAAGATAGAAAGAATAAACACAGAAATTACTATTAAAAACTAAATTTGAGTTTCATAATTTAAAATTACATACTTCTTTAAAATTGTCAACACAGACAAATGTTTCTCTGAAAAGGAATATCACTCTCTTGAAAAAAGCAAAGGCTCCCAGAAAAATCTGGGTGCTTCTATTGTAAGTAGCTAAATGGTAAATCCATTCATGATTGACATACTTTTAGAAATCTGACATTCACTCTCTTCAAAAAAAATATGTTCTTTTGTGTAAAAATGATATTGATATATTTCAATAGACTACTAAAACACTGTGTAAAGACATATACACCAGAAACCCCAAAACAACCAATGTTATGTAAACATATACACACCAGAAGCCCAAAACAACCAAAACAGTTTAAATAACACATACATACAAGTCAATCCTGACCCCAGTACCATGCATATAAGGCTCCCCACTCAGCACCAAATAGAATAACCTTAACTTCTATATAGCTTTAATTCAAAAAAAAAAAAAGCCTATCTGGGAAAAAAGTAATATTATACCCTCCAAAATAAATCTGCCCCCAGGCTCTACAGGGATAGCTACCCACTCAATCTTATTTTAACCAAAGTAAGCTCTTGAAAAGAAAGGAAACCCTGGCTGTCCACATCCCACCTCCGGACACTCCTTATTTTCCTTAGTGCTTCTCCATTCTCTACTTGTCACAGAATGATGTTCCCAGAGTTCTATCCTCCGCCTTCCTCTTCTCACTCTACCCTCTAAGCAATCCTAACATTATCCACAGCTTCCACCACACGTAGCTGCCCATGATCCCCTCATCTGAACCCCAGGCCCTGGCTTTTCCCTAAGCTCCGGACCTTGCATTTCAACAGTCCCTGAAGCTCCCTCACTGCCTGAATGCCCCACATCCCAAAATGAACCCCTCACTTGTGGCCCTGTCTATGCAAACCATTCCCAACATCACACAAGCCAGAAACTAGGGAGTTATCCCAGACTCCAACTCTTTCTGCCCCACCAACCAAGTCACTCCATCCATTACCTGATTACATCAAAGAGTTCACAGCAATCTTTGACCCAATCACCTCGTTCTCAATATCTACTGTCAGAAAATCATTCAAAATATAGAAAAGGTTATAGGTACAAAAAGGCTCATCACAGTATTATTCACAACAGCAAAGTGGCAGAAGGAATACAAATGCCCAAAAATAAAGGGATGCTGCAGAAAATGATGGTACTCAATGGAATAATACACAACTATAAAATTTATTTCAAATACTATGTAGCAATATAGAAAATGTATGTACTCTATGATTATGATCACATTTTAAAACATTCACATAAAAAGCCTGGAAAAGAATATTCAGAAATGACCACAGTTGACACTTTTAGAGTGGTAGGCCCACAAACATCTTTTTAAACTCCATTTTCCTGCATCCCTTCAGCTGCTGTTCAACCTCCTGCTACATCTGTTGCAATACCAACTCAAACTCCCATAAAATAAAGTTTCCCCCTAAATCCTATTATGCTTGCAGCCCACGGCATGAGATCTTCAAAATTGATTAATTCTTTCAAGAAATCCAACTGGACATATCAACAGCTGCAAAACTGGGCTCCCAACATCTGTGGGGGTTATTAACTGTTCTAGTCAGAAAAGTTCACCATGCACAAGCTGCTGCCAAGACAGCAAACGGTAAAGCTGGAAGCTAAATCACAGAGTAGGTGAAGTCGACTATGTATCTAATGTCCAGCCTGGCTCACTGCCTGCCAGGTAAGGAAGGGGCATTTTCTCCATCCGAGTTGCAGAAGATAGTCAGGTACTACAGCCCAGGGTCCATGAGACACAAAAAGGTCACTTCAAAGGACATAAATTAGTACAAGTTTCCTTTAACATTTTACCTATACCTTTGTATTGTTTTTTAAACTGGCAACCAGTGCTAAGTATTAAGACTGGGCTGGCAGTTCTAGCATTATGTGTTCCATGCTCATGCCATACCCTTGGCATGCCTAGGCTAAACCCAACGACTTGATCCTCCTCCACAGTATTAGTGTGTATGAAGTGGAGATACAAGGTCATGCCAACATCATGTAGCTCTGTGACAAAAGCAAATAAGCAGCTATAACCGCTGCCCTACTCAAAAAGGGGATATAGTCACACACCACATCTGTTTCTGTCAACAACAGACCACACATATAATGGAGGTCCCATAAGTTTAAAATGCAGTTGAAAAATTCCTATCGACTAGTGACGTCATGATGCAATTACTTTGTGTTTTTATAAATTTAGGGTAGCCTAAGTGTACAGTGTTTATAAAGTCTACAGCAGTGTACAGTAACGTCCTAGGCCCTCACATTCACCCATCACTCACTGACTCCCCCAGAGCAACTTCTGGTCTTGCAAGCTCTATTCATAAGTGCCCTAGAGAGGTGTAACATTTTTTATCTTTTATACCATATCTTTACTATTCCTTCTCTTTGTTTAGATACACAAATACTACTGTGTTATAATTGCCTACAATATTCAGTATGGTAACACGTCTGTACAGGTTTGTAGACTAGGAGCAATTGGCTATACTTGTGTTGGCTGTACCTGTATACGGTTGTCTGTCCCATCTAAGTTTGTGTTAAGTCCACTTTGTGGTGTTTGCGCAATGACAAAATTGCCCGATGACACACTTCACAGAATGTATACCCATCATTAAGCGATACATATATTGGTTCTAATTTAAAAAATTCCTATGATGTCTTCTTTTGAAAAAACCAATGCTAAGTCTAGGTATACACATTTTATAAAACTAGATTTTACTGTAATTGTCCCAGACTTCCTTAAAGCAGAAAAAGAACTATCATAAATATTTATGATATGTTCAAATTAGGCATTTGTCATTGAAGATAAAATACCTAAATTGTGGAATAAGGTACAGAAAGGCATCACCTTACTTCCGTTTATTTAAATGTCCTCCACTAGATTTTACACTCAATTGTGTAGCATCATTAAATTAGCAATATTCCTCATGTAAACAGCTCTTCAGCTGATAGCAGGTAACATTACTGTAACCCACTACCTTCTTTCAAATCTATGTCAGCATTATTTTTAAGATACTTATAAAATGCCACTGCCAAGAATAAATTCCTGTAGATAAACACACTTTGCAGGAAAGTCCATTTCTCCACCCACAATTACATAAAAAGAGCAGCATGAAAGAAAAGCTGGAAAGTTCGCTGAACTTTTCAGTGATTAAAATCAATGGGCTTTTGAAGAAATTTGTCAGATTTGGCATGGTTTCTTTGTAAAAATGTATTTTGGTAATTTTCCAGAATTCTGTTGGAAAAGTTCAAAAATTCTGACATATACCAAAATGGCAGCAACACAGATAACCCTATGCAAAATAGGCAAAGAGGAAAAATTTAACTTCAACATCCCCTCAATCTTCCCTTCCTTGCAGCCACCCAATCTTCCAAGATTCCTGGTGCTTTTAGGAGGTCACAGACCCCCAGAGTTCATTAATTTGTCAGCAAATAAATTAACTAATCAATTAATTTAGGTGTAAGTAAGTAAAGGGCAACTTCATTTAGATTTCTGAGAGTGAAAAGTTATATTTACTTATTTTGACAATAAAAATAAAACTGATGCTTTATTTTGAATTGAATAAATGGGTGCATAATTTCTGCATGACAGTAGGTAAAGAAGATGGATTAAAAGGAGAGACTTTCAAGGGGAAGGGGGAGGAAGAGGGGACTGAATGAGAGACATATGGCAAGAGGACCACTAAGGGAGCACAGAACAAACAAAAAGGGAAAATAATGACAGATTAAAAAAAAAATTCACAGAAAAGGGGGATTCACAAGGAATAGCCCCATCTTCTAACTTTTGGGGATACTTCTGCTAAAGACTATTCAACACCGTTACCTAGTTTCTGCAACTATAAGCACAAATGGGAAGGTACTTCACCTGTGAATGCCACTAGAGCAGGCCTACCCCTGGCTTCTCACTCTCTCCTGTCCCTTTTTAGCAAACCAACTGGAGACCGCCAGCCTGACTTTTCTTTCTTCAAATAATTTTATTATATTATTAGTACAGAGGTAACATAACCAGGTTATAGAAGATTTAGAAAATAGAGAGTTAAAAGTAAAAGTCACCCCAATCTATTATCGTAACACAATCACTTAACATTTTGGTTTCTTTTTTTGCCATCTTTCTCCCCATATTTTCCAAAGGGGTCCCTCGTATGAAATCCTAAATTATGTGCACTGCTAGGATTCAAACAGATTTAAATATCTGGTGTGGGGGAGGAGGAACCCCAGGAAAGCATTGCAGGAAAGGCTGAATAGTAGTAACTAACATCTACACCAAGTGCTTGCTCTGTGCCTGACACTGTTCTAGGAGCTGCACATGTGTTGATTCATTTAATCCTTACTATAACCCAAAGAAGGCAGCTCTGCAAAATTACCCACATTGCGCAGATGAGAAAATGGAGGCAGACCGTTTAAGCTACAAGCCCAGGGTCCGGGGGCTACTAAGGAGAAGAGTCAAGTTTCAAAAACCAGTATTGTCTCCAGAGCCCAGCCCATAACCACTGCACCACATAGCTTTTCACTATACAGAGGACTTATCTCAACTAAGCTCAGTCATGCCTGCCCCAGAGCAATGCTTCAATGACCAAACAGAGCACAGATTCTAGGCAGGTGTGTAACTCAGTTTGGATCCCATCCCATTGTCATGCCTGAGCCCTCAGTGTGTGTTTAAGAGACAGTGAAGGAGGGAGAGTGGAGAAGGCTGAGACACTGGAAAAAACATAGAAGGCCCTGCTCACCACCCCTCCCAGGAAGGGCAGAGCAGTCTTCTTCCGACCTGACCTGACCTGACCTTAAAGGACCCCGTCTATTAGTGCAGAGCTCAGGAGAAAATTGCTGAGCAGGACGCTCGTGTCCAGCAGATGCCAGGACCCAATGGCAGCAGCAGTGGCAATACTCAAAATGCAGAGGGGGTAGGGGTGTGGGCAGTGGCCCCATTCAAGCCTCACCATAGAGGCAGCTCTCTGAATCTAGCCAGCTTCACTTGGCAGGATGAGGATATACTGATAAAAAATAAATACCTTCACTTTGTCATAATAGTGTGTAAAACACTGTTAAATACCACTATTATGATAATTTACTAAGAATTAATAACTTGATTTAAGTCATCAGTCACTAAAATTCCCATCTTTGTGTCATTCAGAGTAGAGTCCCACCTTGGGGCTTCTGAGCCTCTTTTTATTGCCTACAAAGTTCTTCCATCCTCCTCATTCTTTAACACCAACTCATCCTTCAGGCAGCTGTGTGAATGTTTATTTCCTAAGTCAGGCTCTCCTTGTACCCCAATCTAAATTTCCCTCTCTCCGCCTTTCTGTTTCTCACAGCCCCCTGTCCTTTTCCTTCACAGTATCGATGCTAATCCACGAATACATATTTATCCGTGTCCATTTCCACAATGTCTCTTCCCCTTCACATTCATGAGAGCAGAAACCACATCTGTTTTGTTCAACATTAAAGATTCAGTACAGGATGGGTGTAGTGCCTCATACCTGTAATCCTAACACTTCAAGAGGCTGAGGAGGGAGGATCACTTGAGGCCAGGAGTTCAAGACCAGCCTGGGCAACATAGAAAGACCCCGTCTCCACAAAAAAATGTAAAAAATGAGTGGGGTGTGGAGATGCTGCCTGTAGTCCTAGCTGCTTGGGAGGTGGAGACAGGAGGATCACTTGTGCCCAGGAGTTCGATCCTGCAGTGAGCTATGTTCACACCACTGTACTCCGGCCTGAGCAACAAAGAGAGACCCTGTCTCTAAAACAAAAACAAAAACAAAAACACAGTACCTAGTACGGTGCCTGAAACATACTAGGCACCTAAACATTTGATGAGTTAATAAATGAACACATTAAATAACTAAAAGTCACCCCTTCCTTACTTCTAAAAGTACTGCATATAATTTTTAAATTAGGTCAGGTGTGGTGACTTACACCTGTAATCCCAGCACTTGGGAAACCAAGGCAGGAGAACTGATTGAGGCCAGGAGCCTGGGACCAATGAGACATCACCTCTACAAAAAATTTAAAAATTAGTTGGGCATGGAGGCGCACACCAATAGTCCTAGTTACTTGGGAAGCTGAGGTGGGAGGCTCATTTGAGTCCAGGAGTATGAGGCTGCACCGAGCTACGATCATGCCATTGCATTCCAGCCTATGCAACAGAGCCAGACTTGTCTCTAAAAAAAAAAAAGAGGCCGGGCGCGGTGGCTCACGCCTGTAATCCTAGCACTTTGGGAGGCCAAGGTGGGTGGATCACCTGAGGTCAGGAGTTCGAGATCAGTCTCAACATGGAGAAACCCCATCTCTGCCAAAAATACAAAATTAGCCAGGCGTGGTGGTTGCATGCCTGTAATCCCAGCTACTCGGGAGGCTGAGGCAGGAGAATTGCTTGAACCTGGGAGGTGGAGGTTGCAGTGAGCCAAGATTATGCCACTGCACTCCAGCCTGGGCAGCAAGAGCGAAACTCTGTCTCAAAAAATAAATAAATAAATAAAAATAAAGTGAATTATGACATTTTCAATAAAGGCTAAGTTATTTTATGCTGTATTGGAAAAGCCACCCAACTGCAGGCTCCCACAGCAAACACAGGTTTAGATGTGAACTTGATCAATCAAGAACTATTTATAAACAAATACAAAATCAATCCCTTTCTTGTACACCAGCAACACTAACCAGAAATGTACTAAATCATTCATTCAAAATGACCACAGAAACCATGAAGCACCTTGGCACAAATCTAACAAGCGGTATGAAAGAGTTTTACATACAAAATGATAAAAATTTCATTGAAGGACATAAAAGAACTATTAAAGAAGCTTATGAGGTTTGTGGATGGGAAGCCATTAAACCATAAAGATGTCAATTCTCCCTGAATTTCTATTTAAATGCAACACAATTTCAGTAACACAAAATTAAAGAAAAAAGCCCCACAAGCAACAAGCTTGTTGAACATATGTGCAAGCTAACCTGTGGGGGGAAACAGAGGAGAATGTGATGTGCATGTGATGTGTCAACTGACGCAAATATGGAAAATGGAATTTTGTGGGAATTCCAATAATTTAACCATATGAATGTGTAAGGTTACTTTCAACATTTCATTGTGCTTCAAATATTTTCTTTTTTTTTTTTAAGTTGTGAAACAGTTAAGTTCAGAAGAACAAGCGCAACCTGAGTCTGGGAAAACTGACAGAGAAGACAGGCACAAAGCTGGGCACTGAAAGATGTGCCAGTGTGATAGGGGAGAGGGGCTTCTGGGGGGAAGGAACGATCCAGAACAACAAGGTAAAAGCACAAGACACAGTTGAGAGTGAACCAAGTACGGCTCACATGGAATGCACATTCCCACAGGAAGCCAGGCAGTGACAGAACCTAAAAAGCTACAGTGAAGTGACTATAGCAGTGTTATCTACGAAATGATCCCCCCAAAACGTGGTACAATGGTGACATAAGTTGGGACAAGTGAATACTGTATCTTTCTCTTGGGAATTCACAGTACACAGTCACAAATGAAGGCCAGGAGAAGTCTTTCTGCAAAGAAACTTAACCAGCTATTCTAACATGTACCTGGCCAAGGAACCCTTTTTACAGGAACATTTACCAACTTTATGGGTAGGGTATTTTTTTGTTTTTTGTTTTTTTTTCCAACTTACTAATTTTTTATGGAACAACTCACTTTGGGTAACACTATACTCCAGTAACTCAGCCTTTTAAAGGTCTGAACCAGAATGAGGGCTTGAGGATTTGCAAAGGGCAAAAGATAGGGGAGAACAATAAATCAGACATAGTGACTGACAGGAGGAATGTAAGGGTCACAGAAAATGGGGAAGTAGGTGATGCTCTAGAATCCAAAGTCAAGATGGTGATGAAAAGGCTATTAGCACAAACAGTGAAGTGAAGTCCACAGGGGACCAAGTATTAGGTAAGAGGTAATAAATTTAGATTTCGACAGGTTTGGAGAGACGGATATCTCCCTAGAAAGAAAACTAAGCAAGAGGTTACAACTTGGAGTCAGTTTCTCAGATCCGTCCCCTGTTAAATTTAGGAGCTGAGCAGGTCTCAAGCACAATGAAGGGGTTACAGTGGTGACCTTTAAGACACTTTTCAATAGCAACATTCTGCCATTCCAAAAATTGAAAATTTGAAATAAAAATACCAATATAATCAAGTTCTATCTTTAAAGTGTGAATTGTGTGAATGCAGGATAAAAATAAACAATTCAAGATGAATTTCAGTACATGGATAAGAGGTTTTTAAGAGATCATGTAATTACAGATACTCAAGAGACATCTATGAACCTTTACAAAGCTGACATCAGGAGTCTAACTCTATTTTCCTTCCTGAATGTCACAGAATACCTGCAGAGTACTACGGCAAATAAGCCCTGAACCTGACCAACGTGGCAGTTCATACATTTTTATGAATAGCTCTCAACACTTTGAAAATTTCAGGCAAGCGAGAACTTTTTCATAGATGGCTCACTATATCAGGGGTAGCTCAAAACTGTGATCTACCGATTATGACTAGAAGCAGATAATATGAGGATCACAAAAATAACAAGCCATGCAAATTGGCATAGGCCCAATGTCTATGAAAATTAAGCTTTTCCTTAAAGCATTTAGACTGTGGGTCTAAAATGAATAAAACAGTGACCAATCACTCTGAAGTACTTTTAAGGGAAAAAATGATCAGTTAGGAAGCTAGTATATTTGCAATCTGAACATCACAAATAGCAATTCAGGATCTAATATAAAATGTAAAGCAAAGCAGCAATGATGGAGAGAGAAGGTGTACACTGGAAAATGTTAAGTGGGACCAGCAGGAATCTTGCAATTAAGATTCTTTGTGTATTTTGGGGGAGCTTTTTGTTGTGGTTGCAATGTGAAAATGCTTTCATGTAACCAGTGAAAATTAAGTAGGCAAATGACGTGTAAATGTATTATAATGTCGATAACTAATAATCTGTTCCACTGTCCTTTCAATTCAATTTTCTAAAAAGTCTTTAAAGATATTGCATTCTTTTTTTAAACAAATTTAAAAACCTGTAATGTACAATTCTGAAATACATTACTATATTTTCATTTTAACACAGCGAACTTAAGCCATCTGTGCAATCTTAAAGCATCTTGAGTCCAGGAAGAATTGGACTGAAAGTCCCCGGAAGGCAGAGATTTGGTTTCCTCTTAAGCCTCTCTTAAGCTATCAAGGAAAGACAGGCCCCTTGCATTTTCAGAAACTTATCAGGTGCTTATCTGATAAGCAAAAGAAGAATGTCAATTTTTACTTTTCTGCTATTTATAAAACTGCCTATCTTGGAAGAGTACAAATTTCACCCCAACTCTCTTCCCAAAACCCAGCTCTGCAATGGCATCCACACCGCTTATTCTCACACATCAAAGATCTGAGCGAGCTCCAGGACTGGATGCCCTGTGGCATGCTGCTCGCAGGCAGACTGGAGACCAGAGATCAGACAAACGCCCTGAAACTCCCAGATGACAATCTATTCCTGAAGATAAAGGCATGGCCAGCAAGGGGGTAAGAAAAGGGACTGGCTATTCAGTCTCTCACTAGCAGGCTGAATCTTGTCTCCCTCAGCTGGGGAAGGAGAATGACGCAGGACTGGGAAGCCAAAACACCCAGAAAAGGATAAACTGAGAAGCAGTTCAACCAATTCTCCTAGCTTTGGACCAGCCAAGGACACCTACAGGAATCCTGACTTCAGGTGACAAAGGAAACAAGCCAGGAAGGAGAGGGACAACAGCTGGGCTCTCCCTCTAACTCCTTAAAAAGAACTCCTTAAAAGTGACCAAAGCATCAAAGTACTCACCCAAAGAATCAAAGTTTTTGCCCAAAGCTCCACAGTACTCATTCAAAGCTTCACAGTACACTCTACCTGGTGGCACTTCGTTGTTCTGGAAAGCAAAGGGGTCTTTGAGGCTTGACCTCTGGGCTAGTGACTCAATTCCCTCATCTACAAATACCTCCTACTAAGGGATAGTGATGAGAAGGAAATCAACCTACAGAAAGTACCCAGCATGAGGCCTAGCACAAAGCAAGCACCCAATACTTAATAAACAGTAGCATGAATAATATCATATAACTCAATGTGAATGACTCATTCTTTGGAGATTTGGCATGTCTTGTCCACAAGAGCCTTTTAAAATGCAAATATGCCTGAAGTCTATTAACAGCCTTAGTTGACAGCCACATTGAACACAGGATGAGGAAGGGATGCTGGCAGGTGTGTAGAGAAGAGAGTTGGCGGAGGTACCAAGGACCTGCCATGCACCAGGGAAGACACTGCTATTCAAACCTTCTCGCATAGAATGGTAGTTTATATATCATTTTTTGGACCTCAGTCAGGGTTCTGAACCTGAACGCTTTCACATCATTGGAGATTGGAGGAAATAAAACCTAAGTCAGAGAAGCTGGCACCTGTGTTCAGTTTTCTTCCACTCTCTTGCTTCTGTTTGTTCTCAGCTTTTGTCTCAAAAGCAAGTGTTCCCCTGGTCTTGGTCACTACAGCTGTCATAGCCATTTTCTTCATTTCACCAACATCCACTCTTGGGATGCATCCACCTGCCCTGCTACAACGACCCTGAAAGCACAATGGATTTCCTTTCTTCCTTTTAAAATGGGTCTAATGCATTGTCTTGCATGACCTGTGTGCTTAATAAAATATGAACTGATGAGGAAGAGGCTGACAACTGCAAAGACCTACCAAAGGCTGTAAGAGTGTAATGCTGGGAAGCATCCTTTTTCCTCCTCTATGCTGCTTATGGTAAGTTGGAAGGTGCTCACCTGTTAGAGTTTAGCAAACCATGTGTCTGCCTCTCCTCCAGAGGCAAAAGTCTAAAATAGCCAGTGGAGGAGAATTTCATAGCCTGAGGAGACTAAAGTTACTCTCACCTATACCACAGAACTTGAAGACCCCAAATGGTGTCCTAGCTTGAAATAAATAAACAAGGCAGAACTTCCAGTCTTCAAATTCTTATCTTAGAAACAACAACAACAACAAAAACCTAATATTGACTTTTCCATTTGCCCAGGAGCATTCTGAGGAATCCACAAACAATCCATGATGCCAAGTGTTAAACTCCAGTCTGCTCCTGTACTTGGTGTCAAAGTCTGGTACCTCTTGCCCAGTGCCACTCTCAGTGCCACCCTAAGGACAGATACCACTGCTATTCCCTTTTCATGCAGATGCCTAAACTAGTTCACTTCCCCTGTGGGGAAGGGATGAGCACAAAAATCATGTGGAATGAGTGTTCCCACAGAGCTCAGAAATTTGATGATCTCAGAGGATACTGTAAAGAAAGACCCTTGACACTTCCCTAAGGAAGAATGCCTTCTGTAAAAGGCTACTGCCAGGACAAAAAGCATGTGCTGGGAAAAATCTATGGCCTGCTGCTGCGAGTGTTTCCAATTCTGATGTCCCACTTCCTCTTTATAAGCACATTCCTTCCCTCCTTATTTCTCTTCTTAAAAAGACACTCTGGCATCGGGTCTCAGTTAAGAAGCAAAGTGCAATGTTCTATTAAAGGCTGTAAGATAAAAAGGGCTTAAAATGGATTTCAATAAACATAAAAGCCTTGAGTGCAATATAAGATCTACTCTGTTCTACCACTTTTAAATGTTTCGAAAAAAGAACTTATTTTTAAATGTTGGCAACCTAACTTTTTAAAAGTAAAGTTTCATTCACTTACAGCTTATTCATACAGGCCATAACATACAGCTCTTTAGCAATACAGTTCTAAGAGTTGTAATGTCCTAACCTGGGCTTCCAAACCTATCTCACAGTGGTTTTTGGAAGAATCAACTACAATAATAGACGTGAAAGTAATTTGACATCTGCCAGGGGCTAACCAACTAGATAATCAAACTGTTGTTATTATTAAAATACATCATACCATACAGTATATACCTAAAGAGTATGGACTTTGGGATCCCCAATCGCACTTCCACCACTTAGTAGTTAGCTACACAAGCACAGAGGGTCCTCAATTTACAATGGTTCAACTTAGGATTTTTTTACTCTATAATGGTGCAAAAATGATAGGCATTCAGTGGAAATCATACTTAGAATTTTGAATTGTGATGTTTTCTGGGGCTAGCCACATGTAGTACGATACCCCATCACAATGCTGGGCAGTGGCAGCGAGCCGCAGCTCCCAGTCAGCTACACCATCACAAGGATGAACAACCAATACTCTACAGTGGACTGTGTTACCAGACGATTTTGCCCAACTGTAGGCTAATGTGACTGTTCTGGACACATTTAAGGTTCGGTAGATTAAGTGTATTAAATGCATTTTCAACTTACAATATTTTCAACTTATGATGGGTTTATCAGGACATAACCCCATTGTAAATCTAGGAGCATCTGTACGGTGTAAGGGGCAAGTTACTTAACTCCTCCAGGCCTCAGTTTCCACTGGAAAATGAAGATAACACCCACTTTATCAAGTTGTTGTGATGATGAATATAGTAATGTATGTAAAATTCTTGGCATGTAATGAACACATACTAAATGATAGCTATAATTATTGTTAGGCTATTTAATTAAAATCCAAATGTTCAGCTATTGAAAACAGTAGAAGGGAGGTAGAAGACAATCTTACCCAAAGGAGGACAAATGCTAAAAACATGGATGCTACATGCTGAAGATCCCTTCTTAGCCAAACACCACCCACTCACCTCACTCCCTCTTCTTCCCCATGATGTCAGACGTTCCTCCTTGCTTTGCATAACTGTGCAGCAATCAGGGTAAGTTAGTCTTTAACTCCAGGCTTGACAAAGTGATGATTCATCCTGGGAAGGGGATACAGCCTGTTGCCAGCCTTATCACACAATCAGGCATCCACCAGAACGGCCAGAGGCCAGAGACCAGAGACCAGCCACTTAGGATTCTGCTATCTGTCCACATCTCCAGTAGCAGCAATGTTCAGATGCTTTACATTTTGTTAATGTATAGAACAATGAGTACTTGAGAGGAATTCAATCGTGTTGTATTTTATAAAACAATTCACAGCATAAGTGAAAAGTCCAAAATGGTAAGACAACAACAACAAAAAGTCTCCCTCTGTTAGCTGCCCTAGCACAACGTTTTGCCAGGCAGTGTGTTAGTTCTAATGACAAACAGCTTGACAGTTGGACACCATCCCATTTCAACTTCACATCATAATGGCTCCTGAGGACAACTCCCAGTGCTTTTCAGCCTGGCCTGAAAATTTGACCACATCCCCCACGAAAAAGACAAACCCTCAGCAGTAGCTTATACAGCTCTTTTCCATTACCACTTAGTGGGCAGGAGATATTTTTTTCCCCCACAGCAAGCTCCTAATTAGCCTTCTAAGGTTAAGAGGCTTTCAAACTTGGTTCATCTCAAAATAAATGGCCAAAGGGGTGGTTTAATGGCGGACCCTCAGCTTGTCAAAGAGGCAGCTCTGGGCCACTTCCCAGCCCTGTCTGCAGCCAGACTACTACAACAGAATGTCTCCTAAATTATCACCACAGTAATGCTAACCTTCAGTCCGACTTTGGGAATCCTCCCACCAGTGTCCCACAGGCACAAACCATGAATGCCTGGAAATGTCAGCCTCCTCCCAAAACAGTTTTGCTTGGAATACCCCATTCAAAAAACACACATCATTCAATCCCCCATAGCTCCCTCCCTAGGTCAGCCAATCCTTTGGCGAGTCTCGATTCCAATCTAGGAAAGGTCACTTAACAAATGTCTGACACATTACATTTAATTCTACCACCTCTAAACGATCCTCACACAGAGAGTGAAAGCACAGAACACTTCAATGCCAGGGCTCCTCAGTTCAAACCCCAAACGCTGGTGTGTGTGGTGTGTTTCCTGGGACAGACTGTAAAAGGGTTTTTCAATTGTGTTACATAGTCTGATTCATTTATTTATAGCAATGTCTAATTTTCTGGTGGTTTCTGCCCTCAAACAGTCCTGGAAAACTGTTGTACTATATTATACTATAAAACAATTTTACGTCAAAATTGATTCTATAAAATTTGTCTCCTACCCATTCCAGCCAATATCCACTAGCTACACACACAGACCCAGAGGCACACACATACACACCAATACCATAGTTCATAGCAAAATTTTTTCAAATCTCAAAAAAAAAGGGGGGGGGGCTTCTTTCACTGTAACTAAGAAGATTTGCTTTGAGCAATCTAACATTGGGAACGCCTAGAAACTCAAGAAGCACACAACTTGTTGCAGCAATAAACGCTGGGCCGAAGCCTGAACAAAGCACTACAAATAAGCTCTAGAAACTCACATGGCCCTTGAACAAAATGTTGTGTGTTTGTAGTTACCTCTCCAGCGCGCTCTCATCACCCTCTCCCAACCCTCTCCCCAACTCTCTTCCCGGCCCCACCACCCTTCGTAGCTCCCGTCTCTAATCTGGTTTCCATTCCAGCCCCGCCCCCTTCCCCTTCCCTCTCTGGGACCGTGAATCAATCCCATCCCGGGCAGGAAACGAGACCCAGGGCAACCCCCTCCGCTGCGGCGGAACAAAGGAGGCGAGCGCAGCTGCACGCGCAGGGAGGCCCACAGCGTCCCGGGCCCCTCCTCCCCCGCCGCCGCCGGGGCACACCGCACCTGAACCCCACTCCCCAGGACGCCCCATTGTTCTCCCTCCGCTTTCCTGCCCGGAGGAAGCCACACCGTGTCTTTCCAGGGGGCCAGGAAACAGCTGTGGGCCAGAGGAATGGAGGGGCTGTGGGTGAACACGAGGACAGCCGAGATTCGACTCTGCCCACAGGTACGAGAGGCATGGGGCAAAGTAAGAGCAACTTAGTTTACAAGCCCTTCTTCCCTCCCGCCACCCCCGAAGCCACTGCGGAGTCACGACCACCCTCCGCAACCTACAGCGTGCGCCGTTCCCGCCGCAGCGCCGCGTCTCCCAAGAGAGCGGCAGAGCCCGCTGACCCCCGCCCGCAGGGTGCGACGGGGCCAGGGACCGCGGGCACAAAGGCGCGGAGCAGGCGCCTCGGGGGCCGACGACGGACGCAGAGGGAAGGGCAGGGGAGAGAGAGAGAAAGCGCTCGCGCTACCTCGCCTGGCGCTACCTCGCCGGGCGCCACTCCGCCTCCACGTCGTCCTCGCTCTCCGGTGGCGCTCCGGGACGCGGGCCCAGCCCGGGGCTGCGGGGCTCCCGCCGCGGCTGTTCTGCCAAGGCTGTCCCGCGGCTGCCGGCCGACTGCGCGCCGCGCGCTCTGGTACTGCCTCCACGCGCCGCGGTTGAGGCTCCCGTGCGCACCCAGCTGCGGAGTGCTCAGCGGCGGCGGGAGGAGCCCGGCCACTCCCCTCTCGCCCGCTGGCGGAGGGGCCGGCCGAGGGGCGGGGGCGGCGACCTCGCTGCCTGGGATTCGCCCCTCGGCGCGCGGGCAGGAACGGGAGCCACCGCCTCCGAGCCGACTCACCTCTGTCCGCCCGGTGCCGGCTTCACAGCGCCCCCCGGTGAGCGTCGCGGCGGCCTCCGCGCCTTGCGGGTTTGCGGCCCGACCCTCCGCACCCGGGGCGAGCCTGGATGGGACGAGGCTTGAGGGAAGGAGGGGCGATCGTCGCGGCCCCCACGGAAGGCAGTCTTTCTACCTTTTTTGCTTCCAGACTCACTGACATAAAATGAGAAATACAACATTTGACAACTCGAAGCCAGCCTGGGGTCACATTCCGGCAAACAGTGGGAGTAAGTCTCAATTTTTCCTCCTCCCCAAGATGAAAATTTTTGGATGCCGAGAATATCAGAAAATATTAGTTTCACAGAAAAAGAAAAAAATTATACTGAGTGGTGTGGTGTGTCTTCATTTACAAGACTTTTAGTATCTTTTAAATTACTTAATCTCACATTGTGGGAAATAGACACTGGCCAATTCTTTGTGTTATAAATACATGAGAGGTAGTTTAAAAGAAATTTCAAATACCCATACGTATTTGAATAGAGTGTATTAACAGGTCCTGAGTAATGATCAGTGATGGGGTATATTATACAGGCATGTAGGGGCCAGAGAATCAGGACACCCCCCCTACACACACACACACACCTTCTCACTCAAGCCCTATTGCCTCATTGGAGAATTTAGAACAATCCTCTTGACCCAGGTCCTGGTTTCTTCATCCTCGCACAGGGAAGGGTGCGCATTCAAACTTACTCACTGGGTGAGATGAGGATTACTTGGCTGAGGTGTTAAAAGCACTGTAGACACAGTAATTATTACTCATGGTTCTAACTACTTTATCCTATAATGAAATAAATTGCCATAAATGGGCCAGGTTTAAATGGACTGACCTGTATCTGGAAACTGTCACTAAAGTGAGGTGAACCAAAGAATTCAGACCATATATAGTAACTGTTCCCACTGGCATAAGAACCACAGGCGCTGGGATTTGTTAAATGCCACTAGTAGAGTTTGGAAAGGTGGGACCTTCACAGACTATATCTGCTGGGAACTGTCTCATCATTGATGTCACCATCAGCATCACTTCAGATGTACAAGTGGTGTGATAATGGGCGAAACTAACACATACTGGGTACCAGGGACTGTTCTTTGTTTAATCCTCACAAAAAGCTCTGAGGTAAGTTTCTCTCATTATCCTTGTTTTACAGACCAGCAAAGCCAAGGACAGAGAGGTCTTCAGGGAATACATGGCTATGGTGGTTTGAAGACTCCCATTAGAGAGTGGATATTAATTGCCCTCCTTTTGAATATGGTCTGGACTTAGTGATTTGATTGTAACAAATAGAATACAGCAGATGTGATGCTATGTGACTTCCAAACCTAGGTCATAAAAGGAGATGAAGTTTTCACCTGGCTCTCCCTTGGGACACTCACCCTTGGAACCCAGCTGCCATATTGTGAGGAAGCTCAAGCCACAGGGAAGGCCATGTGTAGGTGTTTGGGCTGATGGTGCCAGCTGAGGACCTGGTCTACTGCCAGTACAACTTATATCAAGCATGTGAGTTGGCGAGCTTTTGAAAGAACTCCAGCCACAGTCACTGACCACGCTGCCTGAGAGACCTAGAGAGAAAACCTAGCTGAGCCAAATCAGGCCCCGGAAACGTAAGTGATAATAATAAAAGATTGTCATCTGGGTGGTTGTTACATAGCAATAGACACCTAGAACAGTGACAGAGCTGGAATTTGAACCCAGATAGTCTGACTCTATAGTCTTCACTATCAAGCACACTACCTCAGACCTTGATAACCTAGCATAATGAAAACCCTGGAGATCCCAGCCTTCACAATAGGCAACATATGAACCTGCTACCTGGTGACGTGTGTTAGACTCACTTCTCCATTTTGCTTGTCTGAGTTTAGGTTCCCAAGTGACTGCTTATAGCAGTTTGGCAGTTCATGGAACTTCTGACCTCTACTGTCCAGTTCAGCTTTTCAAAAATAGCAGAAATGCAGATGGCAGGTTCATGAATATAAGATGTATACAAATTGAAGAGTGGGGGAATTCTATAAACTTTTGATCTTGGAAGGTGGCCAGATTTTAGAAAAAGTAGGTTTGAGACAACTATGTGCTGAGTAGGTCTATCAAAATAGCTAGCTACTAGAAGTAAAGTTTTGAAACTCCTGACTCAAGAAAGGGATAGGACACAGTTATGTCAGAACAGTTCGGCCTCTAGAAGGACCTCGCATAGTGAGGACAATTAAGACTTTCTCCATGATTTTAGCAAGTTCAAAAAAGAAAATAATAGAAACTGTAGAACTTATCCTAATAAACACTAAGAAAATGAACCAAGTTATTAGCCAAAAATATTTCTAGAGAAAAATCATGCTTCTCTTTTAAAAATACTGTTTACCTAGTTTTCATAAATCTCAAAACCCAAGTTTCTGAGGACATACAGGTTTTAAAACACTTTTACCTTCCTGGCCATTTTTTTCAAAAACCAATCAATCAACAACTTTTGAAATTATAAAAAGCAGATTAAAGTTATTCCCACAATTGTCAAGAATAGATAATAGGCTGGGCGCAGTGGCTCACACCTGTAATCCCAGCACTTTGGGAGGCTGTGGCAGGCGGATCATGACGTCAGGAGTTCGAGACCAGCCTGGCCAATATGGTGAAATCCCATCTCTACTAAAAATACAAAAATTAGCCAGGCGTGGTGGCACGCTCCTGTAGTCCCAGCTACTCAGGAGGCTGAGGCAGAAGAATCACTTGAACCCAGGAGGTGGAGGTTGCAGTGAGCCAAGATCACGCCAGTGTACTCCAGCCTGGGTGACAGAGCGAGAGTCCATCTCAAAAAAAAAAAAAAAAAAGAATAGATAATAAATCCATCAACTACAAAGGCATTTTTTACTTTCTCCTCAATCTATTTGGAGGAAACAGAAAGAAATAAAAAGAAGTAGAAAACTATTATTGAGATTTAGGGTGAAAAACATAAATTATCAAATTACAAGAGTGCAATAAAAGAATACAAGAAGTGTGCTTTGCCTCAATGGAAACATGCAACAATTTAAATTCATTCAATTGAAATCTTGCCATCCTTGTGGAAAATACAGAAGTAAAAGCATATCTCTATGTATCCCAGGAAGGTAATTACCACTAGGCATGTAAGACTTATTTTTTCTTAGTTGGTTTTACTTGAGCCCTTTCAAGAAAATTAAAAGGAGTTCAACATTGACAAGAAGACTGACGAAAGAACCATATGACTGCCTTTTGGTGTAGCAAACATAAAAGTGGACTGGAAGTCATACTTTTAGATTTTCTCACTGGCTCTGTCTTCATTCAACTAAGTTTATGAAGCGGCTCATACTGTTTGTCCTTAGGTATTTTACATCATGTTGAATGTGTTAAAGACTCTATCTTTAAAATTCTCAGTCTTTGTTTTTGCTATATTTTGTCTCTCATCTACCCACCCAAACAGTTTTCACCTGCTTTACTTATCTTTTTTTAAAAAATAAAATAAAGACAGGATCTCGCTCTGTCACCCAGGCTGGAGTGCAGTGGCACAATCACAGCTCACTGTAACCTTGAACTCTTGAACTCAAACAATCCTCCCACAATCCTCCTGCCTCAGCTTCCCAAGCAGCCGGGACTACAGGTGCATGTTACCATACCCGACTAATTTCTTTGTATTTTTTGTAGAGATAGGAGTCCCACTATTGTTCCCCAGGCTGGCCTTGAGCCCCTGGCCTCAAGTGATACTCCTGTCTTGGCCTCCCAAAGCACTAGGATCACAGGTGTGGGTCACTATTCCCAGGCATTACTTATCCTTTCAAACTAAATTCGGTTTTCACCTATTCCTGACCATCATCTTGAATTAGATTCTGCTTTCTTTCGTATGGTAGCATCTGAATGCCACATCCTCTCAGTACCTATTAATTTGCCCCAGGTCATGAAATCTTTTTATTCATCCTCTTCTGGATGTTTGACTTCTCCAACTAGATAGTAGGCCTCGAGATAAAACTAGTCAATCAGTTCGAAAACACCAGGACTGAGATAACATCAGTTTTAGAGAGCTGACTATCCTAGGAAATATTCTAAATGCTCTACATATGTGTTAACTCGTTGAAGCTGCACAGCAGCCCAACGAGGTAGGTTATATTATAATCCCATTTTAGAGATGGTGAAGCTGAGGCAGGCAACTTACGCTGAGTGTGGCTGCCTCTCCTGCCTCCTTTCCACCTCCTCCACCTCTTCCACCTCTGCTACCCCTGAGACAGCAAGACCCACTCCTCCTTTTCCTCCTCCTCTTCAGCCTACTCAGCATGAAGAGGATGAGGATGAAGACTTTGATGATCCATTTCCACTTAATGAGTAGCAAATATATTTTCTCTTATGATTTTCTTAATAACATTTCCTTTTTCTCTAACTTACTTTTTTTGTAAGAATACAATATATGATACAATATAAAATATGTGTTAATAGACCATTTATGTTATCCATAAGGCTGATATGTCAACAGTAGGCTATTACTAGTTAAATTTTGGGGAGTCAAAAGTTATACGTGAATTTTTGACTACATGGAGGGTCAGCGTCCCTAATCTCCAAGTTGTTCAAGGGTCAAGTGTACTGTATTATTTCTTTAGCATATGTCTCTTAGTTTAGGATAGTCCTCCAAATGCAGTAAGCACTGAGTTAGCTATTTCTTAAATAGCTTCATACAAAATAAAATATTTTAAAATATATTTAAAGAGTGCTTTAAAAATAAGTGCTTCATGTTTAAAGTATTATTTGAAATTCAGATTAGGTATTACAAAAAAAAATGTTTCTATAGCATTGTCGGTGTCCAAAACTCAATGGTAAAAACACAACTCTTATTCTAAGTATTTAACAAACTATAGATAAATTACATCAAGAATATTTGAAGGTAAAAAGACCGATGGAACTTATCCCAGGCAGGGAGAAAATTTACTAAAGCTATTTGAGGATAAAAAGAGTAATTTGAAAAGCTCACAAATAGGGTCCCTTTTAGGTACTGTACTAGACTATTTGAAAATCAAAAACAATTCTTTATTTTAAAAAAATGTAATTTGAGCACTAAAATCAGGCAGTGAAAAAGTATAATTTTTCTCCACAAAATGCATTTCTCTACAGCTCAGAGTACTCTGAGCCACAAATAAATTATAGACCCATTGCCAGGAAATTTAAATTGCCTAAATTTTTTCCCTTGACATTTTATAATTTAGCATTCTGTCATTTCAACTAGTAAAATAGTTGTCTCTTATTTCTTCTCATGCTACAGCAGGTTAGTACTATGATGGCAAAACCTAGCTGTGAAACAATAAATCAATCTGAAAAATGGCTAGACTTTTTCCCAATCTTTTTAAAAAATCATTTTCATTTTTCTAATGATAACTGGGGAGCTGTCACCTCATTGCTGGGGAGACCCTAGGAGTACTGCAAGGAAAAGCAAATATTATGGCAAAGGAAAAAAAATATTGGCCACCTATACCAAATGAAAAGTAATTTAGCAAACATATGACGTAATAGTCTGTTTCTGCTTCAGTCCCTAAAACTAAATCCATATATTTGATCTGGTGCATACATTCATCACAGGTGTTAGCATATGAAAATGCTGTAGAGAAAGATAATTGTGTGTAACTCAAAAATATCCTATTGTATTAACAACCAAAATGGCATAACTCTAGGTTTAGGGACCATTGACAGAATAAACCAAAATTTAAATTAGAAATATAAGCAAAAGGTTAGTTGCCCATTATTTCAGCTGCATTCTCAATCTTGACATCTGTACGACATGAGAAACTCCATGAGGGTGGAGTTTGGTTCACTATTGTGTTCTCAGAGCCTAAGAACATAGAAAGTACTCAATAGTGTTAGATTGAGGAACTAATTTCATGAGTTATTATTATGTTAGGTAAATCAAGTTAGCCTATAATCTCTGCCAAGAATTTCAGATATCTCATTAAAGACTTTCCAGAGCGCAAGGTAGGACAAAAGCAGTTCTTGCTGATGGAGTTGCAGGAATGATGTTCTTAAACTTTGAATAAAGCTGGAAAAAGTTTATAGAGAGTAGCACCAAAGCACAGCCCATCTCATGCAGAGGAAGACTCATACCATGGAGGTCAGGGTGTTGACAAGCAACCCAACTCCCCAAGACAAGCATGGCCTTTGCTAAATAAAGATGCCTGCATAATCCTTCCCATTAGACACATGCTATACTCTGGGTATTTTTCCTGAAACCCATTCATGCCAATATGAGTAAGAGAAGAGAGCAGAAGCTTGTCTTACATTCTTATGGGCCCTCTTGCCAGGCCCCAACCTCATCTGTCCCCAGCCCCCCTCTCAGTGACTGGGAGTGCTACAAAGTTCCCATAGATCTTGAGTCTGGACCTGAGATAATCTTGACACAGCACATAGGCCCCAAACGTTTTCCCCTCAGGGCCATTGGGTCTATAAATTGCTTCAAAAAGTCATTCGTTCCTAGTCTCTTCAAAACTCTTATCTACTCCCTGAGGGGTTCCTTCAAAGACCTGCATGTTTCTTCAAGTCCACAGTTTCATTAAATTGAAAATCATGTTTTATAATTTTATAGTTTGCCTTATAAATCTTTATCAGTCAAAAGCAGCTATCACCCTGAAGGTTTACCCTGGGCAGGGGAAGAAGAATCTCTTTATTTTTGGTACATAAGTTCCTTGGTGCCTAAATACTTTTAGTCCCACTGGGTAACTTTGATGGGTGTTGTAATTGTTCTAGATTATCAGACATATAACAGTCTCAACCCTGAGGACTTCTTCCATTCTAGTGACTTGTGATCAGGCACCACTACCCCAGGGCCAAAGAGTGAAGTAGATGAAATTTGTCCTACATCAAGAAGTATTTACTGAGTATTCCTGAGGACTTCTTCCATTCTAGTGACTTGTAATCAGGCACCACTACCCCAGGGCCAAAGAGTGAAGTAGATAAAATTTGTCCTAAATCAAGAAGTATTTACTGAGTATCTATTTAGTCCTGTGCTAGCCCTGTCACTACAACAAGATGGTAAACATGACGGTCATGGTCTGTGACTTCCTAGAAGGTAGGGTCTAGCTTCAGGTCTTTGTCTTCTTGGATATACTCCCTGTTCCTTTGTAACGTCCCCCCAGTCCCAAGGCAACGAGGACCCTGATGCTGCTTCCAGGCTCCCCCAGGCCTCACCAGCCCTCTTGACCTCTCGTGTCGTTCCAAGTGTTTTTAAATCAGTAATGTGCAACCTGGGGCTCAAGGGCTACAGCACAATCCAGGATTTCAATTCTGAGTAAAAGATTAGAAAACGGCCTTTATGGTCCTCTTTTTCAAACATTTAAATATTGAATTTCAAATATTCAAAATTTAGTAACTAAAAGTCACTCATCAACACTTTTCTAGCCAATCAAATAAAAAAGAAACTACTTGAATTGCCTTTTAAACTGTGGCCCACTATGAACTTTCAGATTTCAAGCTATATTTACTTCTTTTCATACAAATAACTTTCAAGTTTTGTAATAATAAATGAGTATTATTTTTATAATCAGGAAAAAATAATAAAGCTATTTTCATCTTGGACAAAATATGTGGCCTGCAAATTTTTGTTTTTCTGAATTGGCCCAACTGAAAACATAAATAAATAAATATTGCTTGAGTGGTTTTTTCTAATACCCTTCCATCAGAACATTTCAGTACTTGGTGATTTTTCCCGTTAGGTCATGTTAGAGACTGGCAAATCTAATAACCAACTTATGCTGAATGAGGGTTTATACTAATCACCCACGGAGAACATTTGCTTTGAGTGCAGGTCCTTGGATTTCTTTATTGCACTCTTTTCCAGAAGAGATTCTTCTTTCCATATCATGAAGTCATGTGTCCAAGGTAGTAGGCAGGGTGGGAGGCATCGGTAGGAGTACTGGGGGAAGTCTCCCCATTGCAGGCTTGGTGGTTGGCAATGAGGGCCACTTCAAAGGAGAATTTCAAAGAAGAAACACAATCTGCCAAGGGCGATGCATCCAAGATCCTTGGGCCAGTTTGATGAGCTTGCCTTAATGCAAAAAAGAGAATAAAGTCAAGATTTTAGGTAGAGCTGATAGAGATGGGGGAGGGGGTGGTGCATGTATCTGCTAGAGCCTTCAAAAATGGCTGGCCCACTACATATATGTGAGGATTTATATATGGTGTTATGGACTGCATGTTTATGTCCTCTCAAAATTCATATGTTGAAACACTAACCCCCAGTGGGATGGTATTAGAAGGTAGGACTTTTGGGAGGTGATTAGGTAGAACCCCCATTATGGGAGTAGTTTCCTTATAAGAAGAGAAAAACCAACGTTCACTCTCTCAGCCACGTGAGGATATAGCAAGAAGGTGGCTGCCTACCAACCAGGAAGCAAGCCCTCACTGGACACCAGATCTGTCAATGACTTAATCTTGGACTTCTCAGTCTCCAAAACCATGAGAAATAAACATTGTTTAAGTCACCCCGCCTATGGTATTTTGATTATAGCAGCCCAAACCAATACATATGAAATCTTCAAACTCCAAACCAGCTGTTTCCTAAGCTAGTTGCTATTGCAAACAACATAGTTCTACCTGGTTTCTGTTCAATAGTTTATCCATAACTTCTTGCCTTTGAAATAAATTCTGGAACTTAAAGATTATACCCCCTCCTACCCCTATCACTGAGATGTCCAGGTGAACTCTATCTTCATTAGTAACCTCAGTGTGTGATGGGCATATCAAAGTCTTAAGTATTGGATGACGCTTTATAGTATACTATATGATAAATATATTTTTGGGAAAAAAAGATTGCTTTTATAATATAAATAAGTAAAGTTTTAAGAAATCAGTTTGGTAGGTGGAAGTATCCAGAAATTTGAGCTATGATCTTCTGGGAGAAGGGGGCTCTATCTGATCAGAATTTAGGGGTGACAAAGTGAAATTTGTATGTTTATTGAAAAAGAAGCCTGTATCTTAACAGCTCTCTACCCAGCAGTCAAGTTTTTTAAAGTTTAGTATATGGTTTCTGTCTACTTTCTCACTTCACTTTCACACCCCAGTCCTTTGCTCTTATGACTACATTAAAACTGATTTTGCCAAGGTCTGCAGTGATCATCTGTCAGTTGCCACATCGTTTCTTTTTTCTTTTTCTCTTTTTTTCTTGAGATGAGGTCTCACTCTGTCACCAAGGCTTTTTGTGTACAGTGCAGTGGTACAACCCCAGAATCAAGCTATCCTCCCGCCTCAGCTTCCCAAGTAGCTGGGACTACAGGCACACGCCACCATATCTGGCGGCTAATTTTATTTTTTGTAGGGAGGAAGTCTCCCTATGCCCAGCCTGGTCTTGAACTCCTGGGCTCAAGTGATCCTCCCACTTCAGCCTCCCAAACTGCTGGGATTACAGGTATGAGCCACCGCGCCCCACCAGTTGCCACATCTTAAAGGCAGTTTTGGGTCCTCGTAGCATTTGACTCCTCTGACACTTGGCATCCTACTGCCTTCTTTTTCTTTTTCTTTCTTATTTATTTATTTATTTATTATTTATTTTTGAGATGGGGTCTCTCTGTGTCACCCACGCTGGAGTGCAGTGGCATGATCTCGGCTCACTGCAACCTCCGCCTCCGGGGTTCATGCGATTCTCCTGCCTCAGCCTCCTGAGTAGCTGGGATTACAGGTGTGTACCATCATACCCAGCTAATTTTTTTTTTGTATTTTTAGTTGAGACAGAAAACATTACCTCCTCTGAAAAGGTCTTCTGATCCCCCAAACAAGAAAAGAGCACTTATTCAGTGCTCTGATAAAATTCTGTTGCCTACATCATGGAGTATATCACACCATGATCAAACTACCTATTCAATTATCAGTCTCTTTCACTACACTGAGACAAACTTGAGGGCAGAATCATGTCTATTTATTTTCCAATGCTGTGTGTAACCTAAGTCCTGGAATATAGTGGGCACTCAATAATGCTTGTTGCATGCATGCATGTATGCATGTGTGCACAAATGAATGAATACCAAGTGTTTCCAGTATCTTCTTTCATGGCTCCTTCATAGCTGTTATCACTCACTTTGAAAGATTGCCCCATCTTCTTATAGCAAACCCCAATAATTTTTGCATAATAGTTGTAAAAAGCAAAAATATAACAAATAGCTACACTGTTTAAAATAAAGCTGATTTTTTATTTCTAGACAGTGATTAATTGACATCTCCTGTACTTCTGCTATACACTCTCATACCTTGATGCTAAAGAATTCCCACTTCTGCAGAAACAGATGCACTAGGCTGACCCCACTCAACTTATCACTAATGTTTCATAATAACTTCTATCTCTACTTCAGAGCCAACACATATGTTTTTCTTAATTTTCCTGCAGAAATCAGTCTATAAGTATTCTAAATTTCTAAATGTTTAAGCTCAAAGAGAAGATTTATTGGGACACTTTAAATACTTATTTCTTGCTTACATGGGCTTGAATGATCACAATGACTCAGGATCAATTGTATTTCATCTTTTCAGTACTTATTTCACAGCTGAGCACTTCTCAGAGTTATGAACATGAGTCCAGTTTTTGACAAGCCACAGCAAAGGCCAAAAGAATGAGCAAAATTATCCACTCTGAAACCCACATGGGACAGCAGGAAGTAAATAGACAGCATCTGCCATGGCTTATTACAGCATACATGTTACACTAGGCCCCAAATCAATCCCAAAATGGAAGTCTTGGGTTATGGGTCTTTCACCACAGGAAAGCAACATACACATATATTCAACAATAACACTTCATAAATCTCTGCCCCAGTCACCGAACTTTATCTCATGTGGTGCCAATAAGAAAGAGGAATATCTTAAAACAGCAGGAGGAAATTACAGTTTCACATACAGAATCCTTCAATATCACTATAGAGACATCTTTTTACACAAGTAAAACATGGAACTATCTTCCTTAGGGTGAGTCCAAAGTGTCTGACACAAAAATAGTGTCTGATAGACTTCATGTTTTGAAGTTTAATTCATCACTTAAAAGGAGGTAAACTAGAAGAAATTAAGTTATTTATAAAACTGTAGTTACATAATAGGCACCACCCAGGGCATCCTGAATGAGGATAGAAGAATATTATATGGCCAAGGACCATACATGGTAGGGGTAGGGTTCTGAATCTGGGATTGACAAGCTTTATGCCAAAGTGTGTGTGGTTGCGTGTGTATGCACCACATAAACACACATAGATGTACACAGGCTCACTCACAATCATGGTACGTGTGCATTTTTCTCTGCGGAAAGCATTTTGACCATCCCTTAGATTCTCCCAAAAGGCCTTTGACTCACAAAATGCTACAAATCACTCCTCCATAGCAAATATTTCCCACATTTATAAGCCAGGGGATGCTGCTATCAGGTGAGATTCAAAATTATTGGACATGTGATGATGAAAAACACATTACTGGAGTACAGAAGCATTGGTGCGAAGCAGACAGGACGTGCCCACTCAGATGGGAGTGAAAGGGAAAGTGACTTGCAAATTAATAAAGTAATGCTGTCCAGCGTTCCGCTCTAGAAAACTGTTATCTGAGATGTTTTTGTAATCTTGAACCCCCTATTTTGGTCAGGGCCCAATTAAGAAAACAGAAACCACTGTAGGTGTCTCAAACGGGTTTAATGCAGGAACTTGTTTTTTGGTGTTTTTGGTTTGTTTGGTTTGGTTTGGTTTGGTTTTGAAACAGGGTCTCGCTCTGTTGCCCAGGCTGGAGTGCAATGGCACAATCACAGCCCACTGCAGCCTCAACCTCCTTGGCCCAAGCAATCCTCCCACCTCAGCCTCCCAAGTAGCTGGGACTACAGATGTACGCCACCACACCTGGATAATTTTTTAGTTTTTTGTAGAGACAGGGTCTCACTTTGTTGCGTAGGCTGGTCTCAAACTCTTGGGCTCGAGCAATCCTCCCGCCTCAGCCTCCCAGATTGCTGGGATTACAGGCATGAACCACCATGCCTGGCCAAGAACTTGTCATACCTGTGATGGAAGAAGCAGAACCCAGGAATTAAGAAGTGGGGTAACAGAAAGAATAACAACAGTCAGAAGCCACTAACTCCCCCAGGGCTGGAGAAACTCAGGGAGAAGATGGTGTTACCAAAGCCTGGAAGATAGGAGAAGTCAGAAGCACAGTGCGGGGCATTCCTGACAGATGCTGAGACAATGAAGGGAGGGGCTGTTCGCCAGCAGCTAAAATCATAGAGGAGAAGCAGCCACTGCCAGAGACACCATCAAAACAGGCAGAGAGGAGGTGAAATTCCCTGGCTTCCTCCCTCTTCCCACTCTCCAGTCTTCTGTTTATGCTTCCCTTTGGTTCAGCCTATGTGGAAGCCAGAGGGCAAGGGAACTGGAAAATGCAGTCCCCTGTGATAGACAGCAGAGCAGGGGAAAGGCCAGAGCAACCAGGGACATCACCAGCACATTCCCTTTTATGAAGATGATGTTGGGATGGGTTTGAAGAGGAAAGCCAAATCACTATGGGATTCTTCATTGATATGGAGTGGGAAATGGAGGTGAAACAAAGAAAGACAGGGAGGAAAAAGGGGGTTGGCAAAGATTGAAAATAAAGAAGAAAATGAGAAGAGGAGTAGTGGAGGAAAAGGTGCAAGGGAATCTCTCCAAGGTTGCTGGGACAGCTGCTCTGATTAGAGGCTCCATTCATACTCCAGGAACAGCAGTAGGCTAGAATAGGCCGATAAAAGAATTAGAGAGCTGCAAGCAACCTTAGGAACCAGTAGAGAACTAAAATCCGTAATTTGATGTTACTGAAGTTTGTTTAGATTGAATTCATTATTGATGGAAATTAATGTGAATTTAATTCTCTCCTGTCAAAATGGAATTTAAATATCTTTCAAGAAACTTATGAAGGGATTTCAGAAAGCCAAATCACTGCAGGCCCTTCTGTTCAGCACAAAGGGAAAAAGAACTGAGAACAAACAAAGCAGCAGAAAAAATGTGTGTGGGGGGATAGGGTGTGGGAGAAAAGAGCCCAAGGGATTTCTTTAGTAATGTTTGTTTATGGCTGTTTCAAATTAAGGAACTAATTTTGGATTGGGGAATAAATAAAGTTCTTTGAGAAAAAGAAGACTATTGCTAAGAACACAACGCCGCCTAGAGTTAAGGGGGAAAAAAACCTCTAATCACACTTAAGTTGGCTTGTTTATTTTTCTGATGTTAATGTGTTTGTGAAAAGAACCCAACTCTTGCTATATTTCTTAATGTTTCCTGTTTGGCTGCTCATCCAGATAAATAACCAGCACCTCTGCCTGCTTTCCTTACTCAAATCTTTGATGAGACCATCTTTTCAGAAGAGGCAGGTGCAGCACCTTTGGAACCTGCATTAACTCTCCCAGCAGGTCAGTAGTAATTCAAAGCCCATACTATACTTCCTGGGTTCCATGGACTCTACTTCATGGGCTGGTGCATGGGATTTTGCCAGATGATTAAAGATGTCTTGGCCCAGCAATATGCTTTGGTTAAGAGCTTAATAGAAGAAAGTCCTTATGAAAACAATCAACTTTTAAAAGGCCAGTTATCTGGTTTGAAATAGAACCTTCAAAGTGGGATTGCTAGAGCGCCCGCCCTGGCATACCTGAGCTGTGGCTGAGGAGTTTGTACAAATGACATAGGATTGTTGCTGGCTTTTACTGAGCTGTGCTCAGCAGCATAAGAAAGGAAGCAGAGGCCTGTCTGAAGCTATAAAGTGTTTCATGAAATAATTTTGCCAGTATGAAGACTTCATCCAGGAATAGTTTTTGTTTTTGTTGTTTGAGCCACCCAAAGAGAATATTGCTATGAGAAGTTTCCCGTTTAATATTCAGTCTCAACCAAGTTATTAATAGAAAGTAGTTCATGGCAACCATTTCTAATGTGCTGATAAATGCCTAATATTACAACAGCCAATGAAATATTGATCTTCTTATGTGGATTTTCTTAAAATAGTCGCTTTGGTCCTACCTTTTAGAATGCTGAAAATGTGCCATTTCTGAAATACATCTTCTTAGCCATTTTCGTTGTAGCTTGCAGGCCATATTTTTCAAATTCATGAATGCATGAATCCATGCTAATTCAAAGAGATGTTGGTACTGCAGAGAGCACAAGGTGCTATTCCCACTTTAAGGAGTTTATGATAATCCGCTAAATCACCAATCTGAGTTATCAGTTCAATCCTTTTTTCTTCTCTACCACTAAAGCTCCTTAAAGGTAATCATTATAATATTGACAAGTTATTAAATGCCTACAATAATAAGCCAGGCACAATACTGACTTCATTTAATGCTCACAAGAATCCGAAGTGATAGATAAATTAATCATACCCCTTTTAGAGAAATGGAAGTTGAGTTTCAGCTAGATTAATTTCCCAAGAGTTACATAATTTGTATGCAGTGGGACTCAAATTTGTATGCTGGGACTCAAACTCGTAATTTCAAAGCTCATGCCCTTAACCACTATAGCTAGAGCTGGCTTCTTGGGGTGGCACCTGGGCCATAGCACGGGGCCCAATGCCTCAAAAGACCCACACTTGGATTAATGCTCTGTTACCACTGTCTGGAAACTCTTAAAGAGGGGTCCTGCGTTTTTATTTTGCTCTGGGTCTCATAATTCTTGTACCCAGTCTTGACTACACCACATTTCCTGACATCCTAGATGAATACTATATGTGGAGGTTTTAAAATGTGTCCACAAATTCTTCAACAGTTTTTCCTCCAAAAGATAGAACCTAATTCCCACCCATCACTTAAGTGTGGGCTAGCCTAATGACTCACTTCTAAAATATGACAGAAGTGGTGGTGTGTGTGTGTGTCTTCATGATTAGTAATAAAACACATGGTGGCTTCTGGCTCTTTGGATCACTTGTTCTGGGAAAAACCAGACGCCATGTTGTGAAGATACTAAGGCAACCCTTGGAGACGTTCATGTGGTACGGAACTGAGGCCTCCTGCCAGCAGCCGTGTTAAGTGAGCCATCTCAGAAGCATTCAGACAAACGTTCAAATGACTGCACCCCCAGTCCAGGGCTCAAATGCAGGCTCATGAGAGACCCTGAGACAGAACCATCCAGACAATCATTAGATAACTACTGTATCACAGAACGCTGGAATTTTAAAAAATGACAGGAATATGCAGTTAAAAGGTGAATATGGCCAGGCACGGTGTAATCCCAGCACTTTGGGAGGCTGAGGTGGGCAGATCGCTTGAGCTCAGGAGCTCGAGACCAGCCTGGGGAACATGGTGAAACCCCATCTCTACAAAATATACAAACATTAGCCAGGCATGGTGGTGAGCATCTTTGGTCCTAGCTACTTGCAGGGCTGAGGTGGAAGGATAACTTGAACCAGGGAGGCAGAGGTTGCAGTGAGCTGAGATTGTGCCACTGCATTCCAGCCTGGGCAAACAAGTGAGACCCTGTCTCAAAAAAATTTTATAAAAAGGTGAATACATCTTATGTCCTCCAATATTTGGTGCAATGTTAAAATTAATTTTAAATCTCTTCAGAGTGTATAGACATTTTATTCTTTTATTTTGTTTTGTTTTGAGACAGAGTCTCACTCTGTCACCCAAGCCCGGAGTGCAATGGTGCCATCTCGGCTCACTGCAACCTCCGCCTCCCAGGTTCAAGCAGTTCTCCTGCCTCAGCCTCCCGAGTAGATGGGATTACAGACGCCTCTCACCATGCCCAGCTAATTTTTTTGTATTTTTAGTAGAGACGAGGTTTCACCATGTTGGCCAGGCTGGTCTCGAAATCCTGACCTCAGGTGATCCACCTGCCTCGGCCTCCTAAAGTGCTGGGATTAGAGGCATGAGCCACTGTGCCCAGCAGAGGTATTTTATTCTAGGGGCCATGTTAACAATGCACTTTAGTAAGTGTCAAAAGTCTTCTTTCTACATTGTGTGAAGGCCTTTCTTTAATTTGAGCCACAGCTTTTGATTGTAACAACTGACATTCTGTCCTGATTATTAATTCACAGACAAACAGACACATTTCTTTCACAAGAGCCACCTCCTTTCTAATTGAGAAGTCTGTTGCTCTTGGTGTTCTCCGGCCTGCCACGCCTACGTTGTGTGGCCTGGAGTTGTACCCTAGTGTGCTCCAACAGCATTTCTTCCGCCTGTCTGGCATGGAACTGGGCCACCTGGCATTGCTCTCCTACAGCTGCCTGGCTTTTCTGCTATCATCCGACTCTGCATGATCCTGCCCAGGGGAGTAACAAGGAATAAGCAAGCCATCCCCAAGTGCTGCCAGATTGGCTCCATCCCATACCCATGTTCTTCAGGATCTGGTCACACCGGTTAATAGGAGAGGTAACAATGGTTCACACATGCAACAATGGATCCACTTGCAAAATAGGTTCAACACAGGCTGTGCAATAATATCCAAACATCTGAATCCTAAGTGTGAATTCCAGTTCAACAGCACAGACATTTAAAATCTAATGCCTAAAGTCAGATTTTAGGCATCTGATTTTAATCATCTTGGGGTGGCAGAGGTTGCAGTGAGCTGAGATGGTGCCACTGCACTCCAGCCTGGGTGAAAGAGTGAGATCCTGTCTCAAAAAAAAAAAAAAAAAAGTATGTCCTATGTCCTCCAATATGTGGTGCAATGTTAAAATTAATTTTAAACCTCTTCAGAGTGTTTCAAGCAATCCCTTGCTCGGGGACTTCCCTCAACATACATATATAATACCCAAAGGGCATGCCTAACCAGGACCACAGGGAATAGATGCAGCCAAACTTAAGCTTCCTCCTTCTGCATGGTAAAGAAACCTTATATATCAAAAGCAAATTATTACACTTTAACATAGAAAATTAGAGGAATACGGCACCCTTTTAACAGAACCACAAATGAAGTGGAAGTTATCTATATCTGAGAATAAGATGGGCTAAGCTTATTGAAAATGTCGACTCCAGACTTTGTTTTTTCACTAAACTATATAAGGCAAAACAGAGGAGAGTGATGATAAAGGGTGGGGAGGAGGGGAGAGAGGAAAGTCAGGAGAACTGTATGATCATCACTGTTCTACAGAACCAGTCATAAATCCATTGTTCTCAAGGAAACCAATTCACTTTAAATTGTCTGATTATTCTGATAGCAGATATGGCCAAGTATAACTAAAACCTAATACACCTAAATGAGTATTTTCAACAGAAGCATAAAACATGTGTTTATTATCCTGACAGGTCCCCCCCCTCCCGCACCCAGTGCTGTGGTCCTCTTCTAAATCTCATTTTTTAACTGAGTGCTTCAGATGTTGAAGGTTGGGCCGGTCAGCCCCATAAGACAGGGAACAGGGTGGGCAGAGCTCCCAAGAGAAGCCTTCTTTGTTGCTTCTCACATTGTGCAGGTCCTAATCTCAGTGCAGACAGGACCAGAGCCAGGAAGATTTGTACTACTTGTGGTTATTGACTAGCTTATGATTGTGCTTTTTTGTTTTGTTTTGCTCCTCTCTACCTTTTTTTTTTTTTTTTTTTTTGAGACGGAGTCTTGCTGTGTTGCCCGGGGTGGAGTGCATGGCGCCATCTTGGCTTACTGCAACCTCCACCTCCCAGGTTCAAGCAATTCTCCTGCCTCAGCTTTCTGAGTATCTGGGATTACAGGCACCTGCCACCACGCCCAGCTAATTTTTTATATTTTTGGTAGAGACAGGGTTTCACCACATAGGCCGAGCTGGTCTCGAACTCCTGATCTCAAGTGATCCACCTGCCTCAGCCTCCCAAATTGCTGGGATTACAGGCATGAGCCACCACGCCTGGCCTGTTTCTCTCTACCTTTTAGCCTGTCGGCTCCATAAGCTCCAGTGTCCGTGACGTTCATAGTGTATTCTCAGCCCCAGGGATGGACCCTGGCACATGGTAAGCATCAATAAATACTTATGAAATGAATGAAGGAAAGAAGTGATAAACTCACAGCTAAGGGAATTAAATGATTCTCATTACTTCTGGAGTATCCCTAATGGCTCTAAACACAACGCTAGTAACATTCTCCAACATGTAATTCATCAAACATCTAATGAGTGCCTACTATTTGCGTGTAATGAAGGCATTACCTGCCATTCTTAGTGCACTCCACTTCTCATTTCGTCCCTTCAAACATCATCTCCCTCCAAAAGTTGCAGCCGGAGAAATCCTGTTCTCAGTTCCAGAACAAAGTTCCACAATGTTAGTATTTCTCAAAGTATTTTTCCAGGGAAGGGCTGCCTGTTTTACTACAGAAAGCACTCCTGAGCAGGCACCAACTACCTTTATGATTAATTGGCCTAAAAATTTACCATATAGTTCACATATAATTCTTATTAGTACATCAGAAGATACTTTCACTAGATGGAAGTAGTTTTTCTACTTAATGTGTTTTAGGTTATTATTGTTACAGGAATGTTAGTGAAAATCAGGCAGAATTCATATTTCAAGGACCTAGTCTTTCCCCACTTCCTTTTAATTAATTTACTTTCCCAGAGAAGAGTAGCAATTGATCTCAAGCCAGTGTAGTGGCCTCTGCTGTTTCTGTGTCTAATTCTGGAGGTAAACTTTAAGAAAACATTTTAAAGAATAAATAGGCTAGGTACCAGGCAGTTGTTCTCTTAAACGGGACATTTTTATTTTTTTGCATCTTTTGTGATGTATGAAGAAGAAAAATGATATGATGCGCTTTAGAACCACATTTTATCTATCATATGGCAACTGTTACTCTGAATGAAGAAAGTATGCATAGAATGTTTGAAAAAATTATTCTGAGACATCATCTTCTTGAATGGCCTCTCTCAACACATGGTTTAGCTGTCTCTTTCAGGCAAATGGGGGGACTCCTTTGGGATTCAGAAAATGCTTCCCATCCTAATACAGGTCTTTGTAGGACATCTAGAACGGCAGAGGGAAATAAAAATACTTTCCCAAGGCAGAAGACTTCTGGTCAATAGGAACACATGTGGAATCTGGAAGGATTCCAATCAGCTTACTTGAAGTAATTCCAAGGCTTTTCTAATTTTAAAAACATATCTTTCACTCATGTAGGCAACATGGACAATAATTGATAAATGTCATGAACATAGCAGTATGGATCATATGGGATAAAATATTCTCTTTGAGAGCAAGTTTGTTTTTAAATTCTTAATGTCCTCTACTCTCAATTTTATTTAGCTTATTGATAATGTTATGGTTTCACAGGTGATTTCATTGTTTTCATGCACACAGATGAGATTTGAATTATGTATTTTTAATGTTGTATTAAAAGCCTATTTCAAATCCCTCTCAATAAAAATAGTTACTGCTTGGGATGGTTCTGACTCTCAGTGGAGTACAGTAACCTTCATTTGCATCCTTGAACAGGGCTCTGCAGGAGAGAAATCCTTCCAGGGACCTCATTTGGAACCCTCAGCAGGGGTAAAATTATGAGTGAAGCAAGAATTTCTTTTGTTTGTTTTTCCAGAAAAGAAAAGAGAGATGCTCTGCAAAATGTTTTACTAAAGAAAAAAAAAAATATATGGTTGCTTTTCTACCTCACCTCCTGCCTCGGTAGTTAAAGGAAAGGACAAAGAGCCAGGACTTTACCTTAACAAAATCTCAGGAATCACAGAGTTCACAGCACCCTCTCTGGGCCTCAGTATCCCAATCTGTTAAAGAAGATGCAATATCCACTTCATAAAGTAGTTTAAATAAAACGTAAAGCCCTGGAACAAAACCTGGCACATATTAAGTGCTCAGTAAATATTAGTTTGTGTTAAAAATAGAAATGACCTTCTATAATGTTGATTGTAAGAATTAATATTTTGCTGTTAGAATTTGTTCTAGATAGCTCAGTAATTATACAAGACTCTGGGGGTGGGGGAAGCATTTGGTCTGGCACTTTCCATAGCTATTGTATCTTCCAGCAAACACCTGTGATTGCTTACTGTTTATGAGCTACTCTGCTAGGAAAGACAGAGGCCAGGATCCAGGGCCTGCTGTCTAGGTGTTCACAGTCCAAAGAGGGAGTCATTCCTAAACCCGTCATTGAAATGCAATATGGCAAGTTCTGTAATAATAGTAATTACACTTATTATTTATTGACTTTCTGTCTTGGGGTGGGTCAGCACTTTACAAATACTGTCCTACTTTGCTCTCACAGCAACTCCATAAAGTAGGTGTTATTATTACTGTTTCACAGATGAGGAAATGGGTTCAGAAAGGCTAAATAATTTGTCCAAGGTCACATAGCTGGCTGGCAGGGCTGGAATTAGACTTCAGCTGTTTAAATCCAAAATCTATGTTCTTAATCATAACACTACTCTTCTTCCCTTAAATATTACATATAAATAATAATATATATTATTTTATTAAAATAATGAATATATTATTGTATACAGATAGCACAAATATTTGGGAGCACTGAAGGACTAGCTGGCTAATTCTGCCTGAGGGACTATAGGAGATCGTCAGTGAGGATGTGACATTTGAGTTAATCAACAGAACTATTTTCATGGATATATCACGGATCAGATTCAAGTATATATTTTATTTGGTTTCCCTCCCTACCCAGCTGCCAGAAACCTGAATTTCAACCTTTTTTAATTGCAATACATTTTCAAGTTTATTTCACCTGTGTACTATATTTGGTCATGGTATACACTTGGTCAGTGAAACTCTAATAATAACATCTTCCCATTTTCAGGAGAAAATGAAAATCACACACACAGACACACACACACTCATTCACTGTAGTATATCAGGGATTTCTTTAAATAACAAATTCCAATAGATCATGATACACTTTTATGAGGCATATATAATGATATACACCAAAATGTTAACATTGATTATTTCTAATTTTACAGGTTCTGAGTTTATGGGTACAATTGTTTACTTCTATATTTTGCAAGTGTTCTCAATTAAACATTTATCACTTTTGCAATCAGATTATCCATGTATTTCAAAACAGGCAACAAAACCTCCTAGGTGTTGTCCTAAACTCAATGCATGTTCAATGCAATCAGCTACAACTTGTCTACATCTCCAATAACAAGTTCCCTGAGGACAAGGACTACATCCCCAGGAAGAGGTAGAAGTAAGACCTTGCCTGTGGTGGTGCTTGACAATATTTATTTCTTAATGTGAAAAATGAATACTTGGGGAAAACTGTACAACTTATAAATGAAATCAGAGCTGAGAAACCCTTGAACTGATGTTCTAGTTAATAATGTATAAACAAAACAATTATTCACATCCTATTCCATAGGATTTCTCTCAAAATGTGTCTTGTTATGTACAAAGTGCTTAGTAGAAAGAAAAGAGGGCTACTCTGGAGCCTTGAATATCTTGCAGTCTAGCTCTGGAGACCAGACATGAATGCAGGAAAAAATAACTAGCAATATGTGTGTAGAATGTTAATCTCTGTCCACAGACTCAAGTGGGCAAGAAATATGAGTCCATTTCTAATTTTAAAAAGGTGCATTTCTTTAATACAGAAAATAGTGAATGTCTACAATTCATATCAGGTTTAGATTCATCTGAGTGGCAGAAATGTAATCCTAGGCAATTTAAAGACCTCCCTCTCTCTTTTTCCATGGTGTCAGGCCTAAGTTTGAGGGGATCAAATGCTAGGAAAAATAGACAGGTATCCAAGTTGGCATCTACTGAGATCTGTTGTCCCATTGGCCTGCAGGGATTGAACTACTCAGACTGCTGCTTGGATGGGCCTTGCACCCATCCAAAGGGCTCCTTCTGGTCCAGTGACTGTCCTTGCTGACAAAGTTCTTCCTGAGGCCCCAGCATGTCACTGGGCCTGGGGTGGGGTTTGAGGGGCTATCCAAGGGCCTTCAGCAATTCTGTGTTCTTCATGAGCATACAGGAATCATTCCCTAGATGCACATCAAGTTGGGCTGGGGGCACTCTGTGAGGCAGCCTCAGGCCCATGCATCTAGACAAACTCCATAGCCACACCCCATAGCCATTTCTATTCTGACATCTTGAAGCCTCTTCAAGCTCTCTGTGCAACTAGGGGCAGCAATCTCTACTTCCCTCCTGAGATTACTGTTGTCTCCCAGCCAAAACAAACCAGCAGCTCATGGTTTTTATTTCCCCTCTGATAGTCAGGGACACTTACTACTCTTGACCCATCAAATGATCCTTTGCAGTGGGAAATCTTGTTCCTGCGTCATTGCGTATCCTCTCAAATCTACTAACTTCTCCTGAGAATGCCTTGTTCCCTGTAGGCTTTATATATTTGAACTCAAGTCAGAGAAACACTTCTTTTTTTTCTCTGAGCCAGTGGATGGCCCATCGTCTAGCTGCAAAATGGAAGAAAGGCCATAGGGTTACAAGAAAATACACACAAAATCCTCAGCTAGTAGGTTAAGCCATCTTGATACCAATGAATGTTCAATATACTCACAGAAGAGATGGGCAGGTCTAGACTTGAGACAGGCTCGGGCCTGCTGAGAAACTGACCTTCTCTTCACTTAGTCTGGCAGCCAATACTCAGAAAGTGCAGGGGTTGCTCTGCACTCACTGCTTGTGTACAGGCTTGCATGTGGTTAGAGTTTCCACAATGGTCAGGCAGAAGGAGAGACCGGAATAGAATAAGGCCTCTTGTAATTGTGGAAGAGGCCATCTGGCTCTGGCACAACACTCATTCCGTGGCAGAAACCCCAGGGGAGACTTCAGGGCGTAGCAAACCTCCAAACCTCCAAGATGTGTTCCTTCCTGTTTTCTATCACCATCTCTTTAAATTTTTGTCTTCTTCACTACCTGTTGTATCTGTTCGTGTCCTTCACCCATTATGACATACATGAAAAATGTCACAGAAGCATAAAGTTTAATGAATATATTTTATAAATATTAATATAAATATTAATGTTACTTTTAGTAGGTTCAATTAATGACTTTGGGCAAATTGCTTAACCCCTTTATTTGTCCATTCATTTAACAATTATTTATTAGGCACCTACTATGTGCTAGGTACAGTGCTAGTTGTTGGAAAATAACAAATAGCAAAACCTACATAACTGCTACTCTTCTGGGGCTTATACATTTGTGGGAGAAACACAAAAATATTTTTTTAAAAATCACGCAAACACAAATAACTTATAATGATTGCTGTGAAGGAAAAGTTCATGGAGCCACTCTGAGGGAAAAGGAGGCTCTTTTTGAGGCAGTGACATTAAGCTGATACCTAAAGACTGAAGGTTGAGTAGGGGTTAACTTGATAAAGCTTTTGTGCTAGGTGAGGGCGTTAGTATTTTAGGCCAAGAAAACAGCCCTTGAAAAGACCAGTGACTGGAAAGAAGCATCATGAGGCGAGGCCAGAAGGAATGAGCAGGCGTTATAGACCATGTTAAGGATTTAAAAAATCTTTTTCCACAGAGCAACTGGAAAGTTTTATATGTAAGCATGACATATCCAGACTTGCATTTTAAGAGATAACTGGTTGCCGCGTCATCATTTCTCCTTCATTTCAGCCACCCATTCTTAGAGCCACATCAACATTTCACATCAAGAACTCAGAAATCTTAGTCTCTGGACACAACCTCCTATTCCATGGTTGTAGCAATTACTCCAGGAGTTCTGGTTCTTTAAGTTTATTGACACCTCCAGTAGCTTCCTCACTCTATTGTCTAATACTCGTCAGTCCCTGATCCCTTCACTTTTCTCTCTATCTAGCTAAGATCCTGTGGCCATCACTTAAACCACTCTCATTAATATCCGAAATTACCTTGTCCCAGTATTGTTTCTATGACATCCACCCAGAAGAACTCTGTATTATCCATTTTCACATTGCTAAAAAGATACTACCCGAGACTGGGTAATTCATAAAGGAAAGAAGTTTAATTGACTCACAGTTCCACCTGGCTGGGGAAGCCTCAGGAAACCTACAGTCATGGCGGAAGGGGAAGCAGGCACCTTCTTCACAAGGCAGCAGGAGAGAGAGGAGTGAAAAGCCCAGGGGAAATTGCCATTTATAAAACCATCAGGTCTCATGAGAACTCCCTCACTATCACGAGAACAGCATGGGGGAAACCACTCCCACAATCCAATCACCTCCCTCCAGGTCTCTCCCTCAACACCTGGGGATTGCAATTTAAGATGAGATTTGGGTGGGGACACAAAGCCTAACCATATCAAATCCAGTATGTAGCAGAGCATCTGGCACAGAGCAGACACACAATAAAAATGTGTCAGTGAATGAATCCAACTATATTCAGCATTTATCATCATCATTTTCTCACGTTACATTTAGCCTTTCAACTCATTGCAATCTGGCTTCTGCCTTTAGTGTTCCGTAGAAACTGATCTTGCTAAGGTCACCAATGGCCTCCTTGTCCCCAAGACCAAGAATATGTTTTAGTTCTCATCATCTTTGACTTTTCAGGAGCTTTCAATACCATTGACCACTTCCTCTTTCTTTATTATTTTTGGGGGAGGGCACTGAGCCTTCTGATTTTGCTCTTGCACCTCTGACTATTCTTTCTGTTTTCATTACTGAGTATTGATCCCTCATCTCTACTAATGTAGAAAATGGTGAGGTTCCCTAGAGTTGTGACCCAGGACATCTTCTTTTCTCACTCTTCACTTTCTCCCTAGAAGGTCTCATCATGCTTCAATTTATAGCTATGGTGACAACTCCTAAATCTACTGAAACAACCCCAGTCTCCTTTCGAGCTCCATACATAGAAGTACTTTCTTAACAGTTTCTCTTGAATATGTCTTTGGCTTCAAACTCATCCTATCCTGAAATGAGCACATTAACTTAAATTTCCAAAACTGCTATTTCTCCAATGTTCTCTGGGTCTTGGGAAATGGTAATACCATCAACACTCTTGTTTAAGTCAGATACCTAGATTCCTCCCTTCCACACATCTAATCAACAAATCTTGTCAAGTCCACATGCCTTAAGAGTCTCTCAAAGCCATTTACTTCCTGCCACACTGGTTCAGGCTACCATCATAATCAGGCTGAAATAATACAAAAGGTTTTGCCTTGGACGCTCTCAATACAGTCTTACCTCACCAAACTAGCCTCTTTATCTCCTCATTTCAGTCATAATGATCTTTTCTTTTAATGTTTTTAGAGACAGGGTCTCATTCTGTCACCCAGGCTGAAATGCAGTGGCATGACGATAACTCATTGCAGCCTCAAACATCTGGGCTCAAACGATCCTCTCACTTCAGCCCCCCACCCCAAATAGCTGGGACTACAGGCATGTGGCACCACACCCAGCTAATTTAAAAAAAAATTGTGGAGATAGGTTCTCATCATGTTGCCCAGGCTGGTCTTGAACTCCTGGCCTCAAGCTATACTCCCACCGCAGCCTCCCAAGTTGCATAATGACCTCTTGAAAAGTGCAGTTCTTAGAGTAACAGCATCTGATGTCACTTTTCCATTTAAAACCCTTTAATACTTCCTCCTGCCCAGTAAGTAACCTCTCCATCTGCCAGCCTCTCTGTCCCACTTTTTCTCCCCTTCAGGTACACTGGACTTTTCTCAGGTATTTGATTTTAGCAGGCTTTTTTCCACTTTAAGACCTGTGCAAATGCCAGTTCTTTTGCCTGGAATGCTTACCCACTTTCTTTTTGCTTCATTACCTGATTCTCTACAACCACTTCCTCTTGGAAGCCTTCCCTAACCCCCCATACTAGGTTAGGTCCATCTACTTTACATTCCTTTGTACATTTGTAATTGTTTACTTTTATGTCATTATTTATTTATCTTCCCTGCTACATTATATGCTTAATGGGAGTGGGGATAGGACCTGTCTTGCTCATCTTTGCAGCAAAAGCACCTAGAGAAGTGACTAAACTGGCTCACTGGAGAGGCTAAATCAATATTTCTTGCTCTTATGAGTAATCTACATCTAGTAAATAGTCATAGCTTTACTTTACCATTTAAAACTGAAACTTGGTAGGGTGCAGTGGTTCATGCCTATAATCCCAGCAATTTGGGAGGCTGAGGTGGGAAGATCACTTGAGGCCAGGAGTTCAAGACCAGCCTGGGCAACATAGCAAGACCCCATCTCTACAAAAAATAAAAATTAGCCATGTGTGGTGGTTCATGCTTATAGTTCTGGCTACTTGGGAGGCTGAGGTGGGAGGATCACTTGAGCCCAGGAGTTCAAGGCTACAGTGAGCTATGATTGTGCCACTGCAGTCTAGCCCAGGTAACAGAGTGAGACCCCCATCTCTAGAAAATAAAAAAACAATAACAACAAAAAAGCCTGAAACTCAAGTTCATCTCTTTGATCATATATTCTGAGCCAAGTAAAATTTTAATTGCATTTTAATGCCCAGCTACTAAAGGGTCACATAATTAATTCCATTTCATAGAACATTTATCTGGGCCCTCTGTGAGCAGAGAGGACTGTTAAACCAGGCAATTGAAAATGAAGTAGGTATAGTGATTGTCCCCATTTCACACATGAGGATCTTGGAGCACAGAAAGGTTAAGTAACTTGCCCAAGTCATACAACTAGTGACTGGTAGGCCTAGGATTTGAAGAAACCTGTATTTGAATTTGGATTTGAAACAGAACCCTACATCCATCAACTACACCGTACTGCTATGCAGCTGAGAACTTCCTCTCCTTTATAGCAAAATAGGCAGGATGCACTTGTGGGTGTCTGACAGCTCCTCAACTCACCCTGGATAAAAAGCTGTAGGCCCAGGAAACTAAAGGTCAGTACTTGAATCTTTTTGCCAAGGGTGCTGACAACACAATCAGAAGTGTTTCCCCCTCAACTTCTGCCCCTCATCTAGAGGGATGAGTGCCACCTGGTGGACATAGTTTTGCGCTATCTTAACTCCTCCACAATACGACGTATTTAACTGTGAATGTAGCTCCAACATAAACATCCACGTAGGAATGAACTAAATAGACTGTTATGCATTGATAAACTTAGGCACTGTGATGGGCTTCTGAGGGATGAATTCCTCTTTTTTTCTCTTTCTGTTTGCATTTAATTTTTGTTGAGTCTACAATGAAGTTTAATTAAAAACAAATAGAAGGGACTTTTTTTGTCATCGCCATTCAGCACCTTTGTCTTTTTTAACACTAAGAGAGGAAACTTATAAGCAAGTAGACTTAAATTATCTGCCATGTTTTCTTTATTTGTAAAATGGGCTGGTAGTGAGGGACTGTATAAAATGATGGGACAGTGCCCAGGACACAATAAGCATTCAGTAAGTGTTGTCTATTATTTTTATTATCCCACAGAAAAATGGGATTCCTTTCTAGAGGTTAAGACAAAGATAAACATTTCGATTTCTGGGATGCTCCAGCATTATTCCTTTTGAAAACAAAGATAGCACAAGAGAGAAGCTTAAATATTACAACTAGGCATCAAATTATGGATTAAAGTTTTCATTTATTCTACATATATTTCCTGATTCTCTACTGTATGCTAAGACAGGCTGGAAAGCAATGGTGAGGGACAAGGGTTCATCCCCCCAAATAACTTAGAGTCTAGAGACAGATTTTATTTGCCACCAGAGGTGACTAAGCAGTTTTATGGGGAAGGTTAGTGAGAGATGAGGTCACAGTTGTAGTTGGAGAGGTGGAGTTTGTTCCTAGTAGTCGTGGTTAATGCTCCCCCTCCTCCAGAGGCATCCTCCCTTTCCAGGTAATTTACTTTACCACCTAAAATTCCTCTCCTTTTCAACAACTGCCAACTAATACATGCCAAGATATTAACTATTACCTTTTAAGCTATTACTTAGTTACATAATCCTTCAAAAGAGTATCTGGATTTTAAGAGAGGACTCTAGAAGAGTTTCTCACAGTCTGGGCTCCCAATAAAAAGACCACCAAATGTACTTTTTGACCTTAAAATTTTTAGTTAAAAAGTTAGCTCAACAAATACACAAACAAAACCCTCAGGTAATAGGTGAAGCATCTATAACCTGGTCTACAGGATGGTGGCCAAATATTCATTAGAAAAATGAAATTAACAATGAATTTTAGTAAGTGGCACAATTTCATGTACTAGTAGATGTGAAAGGGCTTTAAAAAGGAAAAAAAAACCTATGCAAATACATTATATTATTTTCCCCACTGCATGCATAGTCATGCTTGCAATGCCATGGATATTGAGAGGTTCAATTTGGGACCTTAGGTCCAGATATCATGGTTATAATAAAATTCAAAACCAAACTAAGCTAAACAATCATATAAATGACCAGTCATATAAATCATAGAAGTCATATAAATGACTTCCATAAAAAAAAAAAAACAGGGTTGCTTTTATAAGATAAATACTGCCCAAATTTCTGAAAAGATCTCTCTGGATAAAGCATTGGGTAAAAGATTTAATTATGCCTCTGTTACTTTTCAGTACCAAACAATAGATCACAACTCATAAACAGCTTTCTGTTCTGATTTAAACATTAAAATGGTTTTTTTGTCATTTTTGTCAGCTTATCTGTCTGCTTCGTGTCTTGTCCTTCCCCTCCTCCCCATCAATCATCGGGAGGTTAAAAAATTTTAAAATACAAATAAAATATTCAGAGGAGAAAATGCCAGAGTACAAGTATATATTAAAATAAAATTAATGGCTGGGTGAATAGGGATGCAGAAGAAATATGTGCCAACCCATAAAAGTGGCCACTAAATCCCGAATGCATTATGTCTTGTTAGGATTAGGTCATAGATCTAGGATCAAATAATAGATGCTAAGATCTCATTTTTTAAAATCCTTCAAACCACCAAATCCCTTTCTTCACTAGGCTCCCCACCCCAAGTTTTTGAAAATTTCCACGGGGGAGAATGGGACAACGGAGTCACAACCATCAAGTTCTCTGATCACAGTGACCCACACCCTCCCTCCTTTTTCCAATCAGTTCAGCTTTGGGGGAGATGAATAGATAGAGGACCCTGTTATAAACTGTTTGACATTTCCCCAAATTGCCCAGTCCCTTAGGAAAGCATTGTGGCATTATCAGGGTGCTGAGTACAGAACTTTTACATAATAGGCACTAAATAAATGTTAGTTTAATGGAATTAAATAGTCTAAGAGGCCTACAGCCAAGTGATGATATGCAGAACCACTGGGGCCTGTTTGAATCCCACTACTGCTGAATGATGCTAATTTATCCTAGACATTTTATCTCCTAGCGACTGGGTTTCCTAGTCTGTAAGACAGTTTGTTCAACAACCAGTCTGGTTTGAACTAAAGAAATTGCTCAATTAAATAATGATTTTGGGAAGTGAGAAGAGTATTGACTCTCCAAAGATGGCTTAAATTAACCTGACATTTATTGTATTCCACCTGCATTTTCACAAGTGATCATTTTGTATTTTTTAAACTCCTGCTGTCTAGCTGTTTTTGACCCAGCAAGTTGAACCAGTTTCCAAGTCTAATTGGCAATAACATGAGTGTCCTCTTGGCTGGAGAATGCTTCTTCCAAACCATTCTGCTTTGCTCAAATTGCCCAATCCAGGTCAGCTTGAGGACTTGGGGAGTACCCAGACACCCACTTCTAGTGAGTGACCTTTTTGAGCCAACCATAAATTACAAGTTAATTGCTCTAGTCTCAATAAAACTGGCTAATTCAGTCTCTTGTTTTAAAGTTTAAAATCTCCCTTAATGTAGATAGCATTAAATTAACTGCATTTTGCAGATATTGCCCAAAGTGTTGGGGCTTTCCAAAGTTACTCTGAAAACAGTAGCAATATTGTACAGATTAATTACAGAAATATGGTGAGATTTTTGTTTAAAACTAAATATGGGGAAAAGCTGGGTGTGGTGAGCTTAAAAAACAAATTCAAGACATGGCCTAGGGAGAAAGACTTGTTTTATAGTTAAAAAACCAAGATCTGCATATTGGTTCAGCTGCCTAGTTGGATCATAAAATACCACACCTTGAATACTCTTCAAAAGTACACAAGATGGCTTTTACCTACTAGTCTTTAAAAGTCACCGTGCAGATCTTCTAGGATGAAGACCTATGAGTTGCTTTTCTTTGTTCCCTGGAAAACACAGGGAACCACTAGCACAACAAAGGTCAAAATACAAACTATTTGTGTCAATAAACTAAACAAACACTTTCATATTTCTGCCATAAGAAACATTATAAAGGGCAGTTTCTAAAGGAGCTCTTACTAAATAAAATATATTACTTTAAAATAATTCCTTGATTTCAGCAATTCTGCCTTTGAAATAGATCATAGCCATTCTTCACTTTCCCTGCTTAATCGCTCTCCCCTCCTTAATCTAAATGCTTCAAAACATAGTCTTTTCTAGATTCTAATTCTGACAATCATCTGCAAGGTGTCCCTTCCTCCAGGCTTGCTCCTGTACCCATCTTTTTTTCCACAAGGCTGCCACAAATCAAAATCTAAAATTCAAAACCAAACTAAGCTAAACAATATGCTGTTAGTGGATATATTCATATGAAATAAGACAATTCTTCAAAAAGCAAGGGAACAATGAATACAAAGTATAGGATTGTACTAACCTTTTAGGGGAGACAAGGAGATGACACAGGGAAGAATCATACAAATAAAGCAATGAAATGTTTTCATTCTTAAGTTGGATAATAACGTTCTACTTCTTATACTGAATAATGAGTTTGCAAGTATTCGTTCTACTATTCTGATTCATATATGTGATATCCATCCTTTTAAAAATAATCCAATATTGCCTGATAAACTATTTTAAGTGAAGTGAGTTAAAGTTGATTTTTTAAAGTGTTAAGTAAACATTGGTACAGATATTGTACAAATATGTGAAAGTGGAAATTATATGACCAAAAATTAGGAAAGGTTGGCTTATGGGAACAAATGCATATTTCTTAGACCATAAAAAGTGCAAAGTCTGGTTCAGGTTCACTTTCCCAACAATTTCCTCTCACTGCCATCCTCCCAAACATACCACACAAATCATAATCTTTCATGCCTCTGTGCCTTTGCACATTCTATATCTTCTTACTGAACTATCTATACTTCTCTGTTGAATGGACTCCTACTAATACTAGAAGACCCAGCTTAGACATAACCTTCTCCAAGATACTGACACGCCATACTTACTTCCCTCAGGCAGAGTTATTTCCGCTTTACATTTCCAGGGCATCCTCTTTGTTACCCACCCTTTGTTATTGTACTCTGGCACCATATGTTCACTTTCTGTTTGCTTATCAATCTCTCCATTTAAACAATAAATTCCTTAAAACCGATGCTTACTCAACTTGGCATGTCCAGTATGTAGGACAGAACATGATATTGGGAAGGTGTTTCTCCATAAACAGCTGAGGAACTGATTTCAATTAATAGCCTAAAGTGCATTAATAAGCCCTCCTCTGCTTGAGTTGCACTCATGACCCTCAGCTCACTTAGCCTTCCAAAGAATAATCAGAGTGTGGTCAAAGACAAGTAAACAAGCACATTAAAGAGAAGAAAGATTAAAGAAACAAAATGCCACTGAGCCCAGCATGCTCAATGCTAGAAGCTGCACCAAAGAGGGACTGAAAAAATATCATTGAAACGCACACACTCCCACTCTCCATGGGTAGGTATGCATACAGAAACTACTGGAAACTGCCATCTATAACCTTAGCTTATAGAAACTTTCAGACCCTTAGTGATTGAGGGATACTGGAAATGGGGTAGGGGACTAGCAGAGAAATATAACAGAAGAAAGGGAGAAAAAAATATGAAGGCTTACCACCAATGCAGTGAATAGTCACTCTCCACAGCAATGCAGAGTAAGAGAAGTTGGCATGAGCTTCAGCCACATCAGGAGCATTGACCTTTGAAGCACACATTCAGAGAACAGTGATGCCTGCATTACTAGACTCAATGGATTAGGAAAAAGCAGTGGATTAAGGGAAGATTGTCTTGTAGGCCCTTTTATTTTCCTCCATCATTTATTCAATAATGACTTACTGAGCACTGTTGACAGGCACAGTACAAGTGCTGGAACAGCCTAAAAATTAAGATTTAGTCCTTGCCTTTCATAAACTCACAACCTACTGGGGAGAAAACTTGACATGTACATAAATAATTACAAAACAAATTAGAATGTGATAAATATCCCATGTGAAGCACAAACAAAGAGATTTGGAAACACAGGAGAAAAAGCTAAGTCTTGATTTAAATATATTGACAAGAAAAGGATAGATAAAGGAGGTGACATATTATCTGAATATTGAAGAAGGGATGGAACTTTAACAGAAGTAGAATGACATGAGATGTGCAAGGGAGAAAGAATAGTGTGAGCATGGAGTAAATTCTGAAAACTTAGTTCATAGTACACCCTTATCCTTCTGGAAGAGTTAGTCCAGAAATCGTTGAGTCTGTCCCAAATAACAAATACTCTTATTCTATATAATACCTCTTTATAATACTTAGGGGAATTAGGCCATGACAGAGAAAAATAAAGGTTGTATACCAGCCCCACAATTGTGTGTTGTAGCAAAAATTATATATTGCTAAAGATGTGGGCTTTCAGCATTGTGTGCAATACTAGGAAACACAAATGTGAAATTGCTTTTTAAAAAACTTATTTTGAAAAGGACTTCAGGGGTGTGGGATTGGATTAATGATAATTCATGCTTCATGACAAACTCTTCTTTGGTTAATGTATGGAAACTCTTATTTATTATTTGCTTTTAGTTGGATAGTTATTTTTAATAATGTAATGAAATTTCTGCTTCTGGCAAAAGTGTCATAGTAACTGGTACTGAACTTGCACTCTGACTGTGAGCAACTAGAAAACTGAACATGATGTAGAAAAACAATACCTTCAGATATTGGAAAATAAGCAGCACATGTAAGTGATCCCTGAGGAAAAGAAATCAAATAAAGTGGTCCTATGATCATTCTGGCTTTCTATATGGAGACACACTCTGGACCATGCCACAGGTAGGAGAATCCAAACAAAGTACAAAGATCTCATGAAGTTGAGGAGACAGAAATTGGAAAGAAAACAAAATCCAGACATACAAGAATGTAGAACAAAAATGTCCAGCATCCAATAAAAAATACTAGACATGAGAAGCAGCAGGAAAATTTGGCCTATTCCCAGGGATAAAAGTCACTGGAAACAGAATAATAGTTAATTTCTTGTCAAAACCATGAGCCAGAAGATAACATCTCTAACCTGCTGAAAATCAAAACATAATTTAACATGTTGAAAGCAAAAATATTGTCAACCTAGAGTTCTATACCCAGCAAAAATATATTTCCCAAATGATGGCTATGGCTATAATGAAGTAACAGGGACTGGGTTGCCCTCCTGCATTAAATCACTAAAAAAACAGGCAAATATATATACTTTGATGGTTTTTAGACACTGAACAATAGTCAGGGTAACCTCTGTGATTATTTCAGAACGAGATTCCAGGCCATAGTGTGGGGAGAAAAAGCCCAAACTGAGCCTTGTGGTATGAGACTCCAAATGCAGTCCCCAATGTGAACATTAAAATGATAAGAAGATAAATACAAGATATTTTAGAAATCAAAATTAAACTTCTAGGAGTGAAAACTATAATACATGAAATGCACATTACTGCATGGGATTACTAAGAGACAAGATACTTCAGAAGAAAAGGTTAGTTAATTTGAAGACAGAACTATCCAAAATGAACTACATGGAGAACAAAAAGACTGAAGAAAAAAATAACAGAGTATCATTGATCTGTGGGACAATATCAAGTTTTCTAAAATATATGCAATTGGAATTCCAGAAGGAGAGGAGAGACATGGAGAGACAAAAAAGTTTAGAGAAACAATGACTAAAAAATATAAAATATAGTGAAAAGTATAAACAATCATATTTTAAAATTGCATCAAACACAAGCAGAGTAAACAACAACAACAACAAAAAACTACACAAAGGCACATTATAAAGTTCTGAAAATCACTGACAGAAAACCCTAAAACTTAAAGTATAATAATAATTTTAAAAAAAAGGAAAAAAAGAAAAAAAAAAGAAGAGTAAGCATAGAGGGGAAAGAAGACATGGAAGCACAAAGATAGAAAACAACTGACTCATTGTCAGAAACTACATAAGACTAAGAAAATGATTTGACATCTTTAAAGTACTGAAAGAAAAAGAAAATTGTCAGTGTAAAATTTTATATCCAGAAAATCAGACCAACAAAACCTGAGAGAATTCATCACCAGCAGATAGATGTTCTCTACAAGAACTGTTAAAGGAAGTTTTCTAGGCAGAAGAAAAAAAGAATCCAAGAACAGATGGGATAAATAGACTACAAAGACAAATAAATGTAAAATTATTTTTAAATATTAGTAAACTACATTCAGTCATATTTTAATCATATTTTTAAAAGATAATACATCATGAAAAAGTAGAATTTATACCAGGAATGTAAGTATACTGTAACATTCAAGAATCAATAAATGCAATTCACCACATAAGTGTATTAAAAAACAAACCATATGGCTGTCCCAATAGATACAGAAAAGGCATTTGAAAAAGTTCACCTTCGGGCCATGATAAATATAGTCAGCAAACTAGGAATAGAAGGGAACTTCCTCAAATTGATGAGGGCCATCTACAAAGAACCTATAGATAACATCATTCATAATGGTGAAAAACTGAATACTTTCCCACTAAGATTGGAAACAAGGTAAAGGTGTCCATTGTTACCATTTCTAATTAATATCATAATGGAGGTCCTAGCCAATGTAATAAGGGAAGAAAAGAAAATCAGAGGGCTACAGAATATCAAAGGAAGATGGTAAAACACACATGCACAATAACTGTCTGCATAGAAAACCCTAAGGTGCCTAAAAAAATGATATAAGGATTATATTATAAGGCTACAGTTACTAAGATAAGTTTGTATTTGTGAAGGGACAGACAAATTAACCAGTGGAATAAAGAGCCTAGAAACATCCCTCCACGTGAATCAAAATTTGATGATGGCAGAAGTAGTATATCAGGTCAGTAGGAAAATAAAAATATGCAAAAAAGTGATATTATATTCCTACTCTTACCACATACAAAAATCAACTCAAGATGGATTAAGGACTTAAATTTGAAAAATAAAACCTTAAAATTCATATTAGAAAATATAAATAAATATGATTTAGTCCTTAGGATAGGGAAAGATATGCAAGATTATTCAAAAATGTCTGCTACAAACATTGATCAGTTGTATTAAAATTAATATATTTTGTTTATCAAAAGATATCTTAAAATAAAAAGAAAAATGTCAAATTGAGAAAAGATACTTGCAATAGACACATTATTAGTATCAAGAATACATAGATTCTACCAATCGACAAGAAAAAATACACAAAATAAGAAAAAGAAATGATAATAAAAGACATTTATCAGAAAAGGAAACAAATACAAACATACAAACATATGTTTAGTATCATTAGTGATGAGAGAAATACCAATCAAGAATGCAATAAGATACCATTTTATACCTATTTGATTGGCAAAAATACAAAATAAATGTTATATTTTCAAGCAATAAGAGTCTAATGTATTCCAGTTTGGCTGAAGGGTAGTATGTGTTTTACATAATAATCTTATAACAGCAGTTTGAGGCTAACCCATAGAGAATATTAAATGCTATTAAGTTGTGTAATTCCAAGTACCTGAGGTTGTAAGATAACCTCTGGATATTCAGATTCTCTCGTTGAAATGGAAAGTACTTTTCCCCAAAGTGGTGATCTATGACTTAGCTCTTCAAGGCATCTTCTCTATTCTCTTTACAAACCACTGGTCACATGTTTTATCTTACAGAATGTAAAGCATGAAAGAAATGCTCCAGTTTTTATATAACTTTTTATTTTGGCATGCAACAATCAGTATTTCAACTTAAAGGAATGAGGAAGATGGGGATTACAGACATTTTGGTAAGTGGAAGAAATTTTTATTTTTTTGTTTCAATAAAACAGACACCTTTATTGACTGAATGAAACTCTTGACATCTCTCAAATGCTTGGAAAACCACATAGGAAATAATGGATTAGATTTCATATTTAGATAAAAAATGTGTTTAAGGGCTTAAATTATAGAAAGGGTAGCTGTGATTAAACAGTATCTGTGTGAATAAAAATGCCATCTGATATTACAAAATATATACATTTTTTTCAAAGCCCCTTCATATACTTTTTTGTATTGAAAAAAATTCCATAAGGTAGGGTAAATATTATTATTCCCATTTGCTGAGTGAGATATGAGGGATAAAGACTAAATGACTTAGCCTGAACTGGATGGCCTCTTAATGGTAAAGCTAGGATTAAAACTCAATTATCCTGATTCAGAGTCCCATCTTATTCTTTCTCTCCTCTCTTCTCACCTCTCTCTGTTCTTCCTTCCTTCTTCTCACCTTTCTTTTCTATTCTTAATATTAACAGCTTTTAAAAATACATATTTATTATTGACAATTTAGAAAAGCATGAAGAAGAAATTAAAATTACAATCCTACCATTCAGACAACCACTATGGAAATATTAGTGCACAGTTTCTAGTCTTTTTCTTTCATTCTTTCTTTTTCACAGATAGAGTCTTGCTCTGTCACCAAAGCTGGAGTGCAGTGACACAGTCATGGCTCACTGAAGCCTTGACCTCCCAGGCTCAAGCTATCCTCCTACCTCAGCCTCCCTAGTAGGTGGGACTATAGGCACGCACTACAATGCCTGGCTGATTGTGCTGTTGTTCTTGTTGTTGTTGAGATAGGGTCTTACTATGTTGCCCAGTCTGGTCTCAAACTCCTAGGTTCAAGTGATCCTCTCACCTCAGCCTCCAAAAGAACTGAGGTTACAGGTGTCAGCCACTCTTCCTTACTTTAGTCTTCTTTGTTCATGTACATTTTAAAAATAGGAACCACACTTGGTTATAGCTTTTGTTACATGCTTTTTCACTTAATGATATAATGTAAATATTTTCCCAAATGATTAAATATTTTTCAGAAACACAAAATGTTGGCTGCATAGTATTGCAGTATTTGGATATACTAGAATTCATTTAACCAGTCCACTCTACTGTTGTAGATTGCTTTTGATGCTTCGCCATTAAGAACAAGACAGTCCTGCACATATATATAAATAAATCTTGATTATTTTGTAATGATAAATTCTTAGAAGTGGCATTCTGGCATACTTTTTTTTGTACTCTAAAACATATTGTCAAGTTGCAATTTAGAAAAATTCTACCATCAGCTATGAGTGTGGGAAGTGCTCATTTCCATGAGTCTTTGCCAATATTGTTATTACCATAAAAAGTGATGGTTAGATCAATGAAAGTAATATTTATTCTTTTAGCAGATATTTAATGAGCAATTACTATGTGCCAGGCACTGTGTTGGGTGCTAAAAGTCATCTTCCTCCTCAAAGAATTACAGTCTAGTGGGAGTTATATTCAAGTAATTTTTTTTTTCTTGAGACAGTATCTTGCTCTGTCACCCAGGCTGGAGTGCAGTAGCACAATCATAGCTCACTGCAGCCTCCAACTTATAGGCTCAAAGAATCCTCCTACCCCAGCCTCCCAAGTAGCTGGAACTATAGGTGCACACCACTGTGCTAGGCTATTTTTTTTTCTTTTTACTTTGTATAGAAATGCACAGGGTTGGGGGGCATCTCGCTTTGTTGCCCAGGCTAGTCTCGAACTCCTAGTCTCAAGTAGTTCTCCCCCACCTTGGCTTCTCAAAGTGCTGGGATTACCCACATGAGCCACCACACTGGCCCAAGTAAGTTATTATACTTCTGTTCTCACGCAGTACTATAGGAGCACAAAGGAAAGATGCCTTCTCTTGAGGGACCATAGATGGCCCCCTGGTAGAAGTATGCCTGAGTTGAGGCTTCATGGATGAGTAGGAAAGAGGAGATAAATGGTCGTAAAAAGGTTCCAGGCAGAAGAAACAACACATACAAATGGAGAGGTGAATATGGTGTATAGGTTCAAATGCCTTCAAGCAAATAAAGCCTCACTCAAGCTGGCTAAGCCATGAGCCAATTTAGGATCTTACATAACAAGAGGTCCTCTGCAGTGTGGCCTCAGGCAGAGTCCACATGGCTGAGCTCCTCTGCTCTGTGTTGTCCTGGCTCTTCCCTCCTCCCTGTGTTCTGCTCCATCCTCGGCATAAGAAGATATATTGTCTTTCCCACATGACCCTTTAGGAATAATAATAATAAAAAAATCTCTTTTGATCCCAAGCAGACAACTTCTCATGTCTTATTGGCCAGGCTTGGGTCACATACTTCTTCCGGATCAAATTGCTAGCTAGGGGAGTGAGATCACTATGTTTGGTTTAGACTAATCACTCGGAGAGTTGAGGAGTCAACACCCCATCCACCACATGAGGAAGTGTCAAGAGCTGAATAAGGCTGCAGCACAGACAGGAGGTGGTGAGTGGCAAGAGATGAGGCGCCAGAAGCTAAAGGAACAAAAGGCCGTTTCATGAAGGAGGATGGAAGAGTGTCCAATGCTGCAGCGAGGTCAAGTGGCAGAAGGTTGACAGTAATTACTGTCAGCTTACTGGGTGCATACGAGAGCAAGTTTAATTGTGATGGTTGAAGTCAGACTTCAGAGGTTTGGAGACTAATGTGAGATGGGGTGGAATAATCACGGCGTGGATTCTCTCACAGGAAGTGAGGCCGTGAACAGGGCGAGAGGCGAGAGAGTGACAGGAAGAGGTAGAGCAGAGTCAAGAGAGAGGCTTTTTAGATGACAGAGGCTAGAAGAGGCTTAAATGATAAGGGAAAGGAGAAGGGAGAGAGGAAGAGTGGAGGAGAGGGGGAAGAAAAATGGGATTATCATTTCCCCGAGGAAGCTGGAAGGGTGGCTATCCGTTGGTGGGGAGGGAGTTCCGAGGAGAATGGAAAGCTTTGAAAACTCTTCCGGGGAAGGGAGCATTGATCACAAGGAGCAGTGCGGAGGGCCCAGGTGAGGTTGGGGAATATGAATTTGGAGCAGCCCAGGTGGAGTAATTTCTCTCTAGGAGCACTTGGTAGCTAGGATGTTGGCTTGGAGGTGGCAATGGTTGGCCTGATTCAGGATGAAGTGACAGATCACAGAGCTAGGTGTGATGGGAAGAGGAAGGGAATGCAGCAACCAACTACTGGGGAAGGCGTGGGGGTGTAATGGGAGTAGTTGGATAAAAGTTATGGACGAGGTGTACGTTTGAATTTTGCATTTCAGAAGCTGAACAGTTTGGGGCTATTGAGTGTGTGAGCGTGGAGGTGGATGAATAAACCGAAAAGTAAAGTTTTTATGAAATAGGATGATAGCACTCTATACATTGATTGTGAGGGTATAATGTGGGCTTTATGAAGGGCAATTTGGCAATTTAGTTTTTAAAAACTAAAAACCTGCACATCCTTGAATCTAGTAATTCTAACTGTATTCCATAGATTTACTTCCACATGTGTGAAATGATGCACAGTGAGGGTTATTCACTGAAACATTATTAATAAAAGACTAAAACCTAAATCCATCAAGGATTTGGTTAAAAAGAAGGCAGTTCCATATGTATTGATGTGGAAAGTTATTCCAATTACAGTCTTAACTTAAAAGAAAGCAAAGAGACCGGGTGCGGTGGCTCACGCCTGTAATCCCAGCACTTTGGGAGGCTGAAGCAGGCGGATCACCTGAGGTCAGGAGTTTTTTTTTTTTTTTTTTTTTTTTTTTTTGATCATTCTTGGGTGTTTCTCGCAGAGGGGGATTTGGCAGGGTCATAGGACAATAGTGGAGGGAAGGTCAGCAGATAAACAAGTGAACAAAGGTCTCTGGTTTTCCTAGGTAGAGGACCCTGCGGCCTTCTGCAGTGTTTGTGTCCCTGGGTACTTGAGATTAGGGAGTGGTGATGACTCTTAACGAGCAAGCTGCCTTCAAGCATCTGTTTAACAAAAACATCTTGCACCGCCCTTAATCCATTTAACCCTGAGTGGACACAGCACATGTTTCAGAGGAGGTCAGGAGTTTGAGACCAGCCTGGCCAACATGGTGAAACCCTGTCTCTACTAAAAATATGAAAATTAGCTGGGCATGGCAGTGGGCACCTGTAATCCCAGCTACTCAGGAGGCTGAGGCAGTAGAATTGCTTGAACCTGGGAGGCGGATGTTGCAGTGAGCTGAGATCGCACCATTGCACTCTAGCTTGGGTGACAAGAGCAAAACTCCGTCTCAAAAAAAAAAAAAAAAAGAAAAAGAAAAAAAGAAAAAAAATAAATTATAAAATCTTACCGTTTATGTACCAACACACACACAGAAACACATACATACACCCCATAAAATACCTATACATTTACACAGGCTGATTATAAGAGTTGTCTTTACTGGGTGTGGTGGCTCATGCTTGTAATCCCAGAACTTTAGGAGGACAAGGTTGTGGGAATCACTTTAGCCCAGGAGTTTGAGACCAGCCTGGGCAACATAGTGAGACCTCGTCTCCACAAAAAATTAAAAAATTAGCCAGGTGTGGTGGTGAGCACCTGTAGTCCCAGCTACTTGGCAGGCTGAGGTGGGAAGATCCTTGAGTCCCTGAGTTTGAGGTTCCAATGAGCTATGATCGTGCTACTGTACTGTAGCCTGGGCGACAGAGCAAGACCCTGTCTGTACAAATAATAATAATAAAGAAAAGTAAAAGGGGATTGTCTTTAGAGAGTTCCTGTAGAGCTTGGTGGCTGGAGGAGAGTAGAGGGGAATTCCTAATTTTCATGATCCTTTTATTTGCTTTCAGTTTTGTTTTTGTTTTTTAACTACGTGTGAGAAGTGGTTCTTTGTAGGAAAGAGGGGAGGGTGGGCTCTCAGATCACATTACATACCCAGGTGTCCACTGATACCCACCTGTAAGGTTTTGGGAAGACAAGATCCAAGAGGGAGAAATAGTGAATCAAGCATGCGGATTGAAGCTCTCATTCTGCTGCTCCTAGGGGCATGACCTCTGCAGGTAATGAAAATGGGAAGAATAATAGTCTTACCTCTCAGGTTGTTCTAAGGAAGCAGAGAAATTATAAAGTATTTCATAACGGCAAAACAATATTAAAAAGCAAGGTATTTATTAGCAAACATTTATTGAACATTTACTATACTCCAGGCACTGAATTAAAATGGTAATTATTTCAATACTTTATTAATAATTCTTTTTTCCTCATCTAAATGAGTGTTTACAGCTGTTCATTATTATGGTTGTTTCTTGCTAAACATGAGTTGCCCTTCTATCTGTGTTCCTAACCTGTCCCCAGGCTCCCACCCACACCTGACTGGCCTTTGTTTATACTACATTAACTAGAATAGAATTTCTTTTTTTTTTTTTTTATTATACTTTAAGTTTTAGGGTACATGTGCACATTGTGCAGGTTAGTTACATATGTATACATGTGCCATGCTGGTGCGCTGCACCCACTAACTCATCATCTAGCATTAGGTATATCTCCCAATGCTATCCCTCCCCCCTCCCCCCACCCCACAACAGTCCCCAGAGTGTGATATTCCCCTTCCTGTGTCCATGTGATCTCATTGTTCAATTCCCACCTATGAGTGAGAATATGCAGTGTTTGGTTTTTTGTTCTTGCGATAGTTTACTGAGAATGATGATTTCCAATTTCATCCATGTACCTACAAAGGACATGAACTCATCATTTCTTATGGCTGCATAGTATTCCAAATGTCCAACAATGATAGACTGGATTAAGAAAATGTGGCACATATACACCATGGAATACTATGCAGCCATAGAATAGAATTTCTTAAGAGGCCCAGGAACCCGATTCAGCCTCCAGACATGTTTTATTTGCCCACAGATTGTTTAAATATTTTTGAGAGGGTAGACAACATTGGAAAAAAAAAAGCAGATACTTTTAAAGTCCAGATTTTGAACTTTTCTAGAAAAATCAGAAGACCTGGCAACAATGTGCCTCAGGGCAGCAGACCACTGTAACCAAGCAGGGCCGGCCTCTTTGGCCAGGCTGTGCACATTCTTCCTTCTGACACGATCCTCACCCATGCTGTGTATGCTCCTGCCTGTCCCTGTGGACAGCAGAGTTTCCCACATCTGGAATAATGCCAGGGATGGCTGTTCCCTACTTTCTTGGCTTACAAGTGAGTGTGGAAACAGGGGGGCTTTCCTATTCCTGTCAGCACAGTCAGGTCCTTGTTCAGGGACCAGGTCCAGGTCTAAGAGGAAGCAGGGGACTTGGCCAGGGCACACAAAAGACACAATGATTAAAGTGTTGGAAAACAGAACCTATGAGGTAAGTTTTAAGGAACTGGATGTTTTCCTGGAAAAAAAGAGGATAAAGGATGACTCAATTGTCTTCTTTAAGTATACGGGGTAATTATGAAGAGAGTGATACCAGCTGCTCTCCACCCCCAAACCCACTAGAGGAAATGTGCGTGTCCTGTGGCAGGAGGCTTGCAGCTGAGCCATAAGGGACTTCACTAAGAATTTAGGTTGAGAGACGAGGTGCCTCCATCTGCCTCATCTGATCCTTATGAGGGTCAGGCTAGACCCTTCTGTCTGAAACTCAAAAAATAAACTGGGTAACTTCTTGAATACTTTCCCGACTTTAATTCTTAATGCCTTCCTCTGCCATATTCTCTTTTATTTCTGTAGGCTTATCAGAAGAAAGTTAGAAAAAGCTTTCCTGAATAAGAAAACAGGGCATGAATCACTTAAAATTCTCTTTAGCAACATCTATCCTTGATGTTACCACACTAAAAAATGTATGCATACTCTTTCTAAACATGCAATTAGAACACAGCTGGGAAGGTACTTAAGATTCTTTTCCCAAGTTAACTTTTTACCAGCCAAATTGCTATGGGTATAGTTTGCTCAACTGATGCTAGGAGAATAGTTCAGAGGACTTAATCGAGTGCAGTGCTTATGTAGATAAAAAACATTGCCTACATTATCCAGTCTTAGTTGTTTTTACTTAGTTTAAAAGATTATGGTGAGTTTTCATGTCTGTTCCTGTTGTGAATTCTGTGAGTCAATGCAGAGGAGCTGGAGGAATTTCCCAGATGTCACAACTACTGGACAGCATCCGGTACAGTAAATTAGAACACAGACTCTGGTTGATAAATGGTGATGGGACATTTAACACTTCAAAATAACAATCAACCTTTGTTGTGAGCCAACTGGGTGCTGAGTGCTTTTCATGTTAATCTTCATAATGACTCTGTAAGGTAGTTATCAATATTCTCGTTTGACAGATCAGAACAGAGTCAGAGAGAGGAGTAACTTTCCAAGGCCACATGGACAGCAAGTGGTGACATGCAGATTCAAGTCTAAATCCAAATTCAAATTGCTTGACTCCAAAGTCTGTGTTATTTATTTATTTATTATTATTTTTTATTTTCAAGACGGAGTCTCACTCTATCACCCAGGCTGGAGTGCAGTGGCATGATCTCAGTTCACTGCAGCCTCTGCCTCCCAGATTCAAGCGATTCTCTTGCCTCCGCCTCCCGAGTAGCTGGAATTACAGGCGCCCACCACTACACCTGACTAATTTTTGTATCATCGAGTAGAGATGGGGGTTTCACCATGTTAGCCGGGCTGGTCTCGAACTCCTGACCTCAGGTGATCCACCCACCTTGACCTCCCAAAGTGTTGGGATTACAGGCATGAGCTGCCATGCCCCACCCATCTGTGTTATTTTCATGTGACTACTTTGCTTCTTGTTTTTGGATTCACTTTGTTAGGGTGTGCCAGCCAAGGTGTCCAGCACAGAACCATACAATGGAAGGGGTAATTTGGGTCAGTCTCTCTCACAAAGAGAGCTCATGAGCTCCCAAGACAAATAAAGGTACTGGTTGACAAGTACATCACAATTAAACAGCCTCATCACCTTTCTGCACCTACAGTTCCATTTCCTACCTTGTTCATGCAGTCATCTGTCAAAGTCTCTTGACATACAACCCTAACTCCTCAGAGCTACGGTTTCTGACTTCCCACTAGTAAGCACAGTCCTTCCTCAAGACTATTTAAGCGGTCTGGCTCTTAAGTATACTGTGTTCCTTGTGGGGTGGCCCATGCATCTTGTGCAGCAGCATTACCTGGACTACTGGCTAAAAATATGAATTCCTGAGCCTCACCATTGATCTACTGAATCAGAATCTCCAGGAGCACGTCTTATCCTTAACAAGTATCTCAAGTCTTTTTCACACACACTTAACTTTTAGAATTATTGCTTGTAAAGCAATGGTTGTTAACCTTGGATGCACATTGCAATCACCTGGGGAAATTACATCTGGGCTCCACCCCCAGAGATTCTGATTTGCCTGGGCTGTGGCCTGGGCATCATATTAAGAACTTTCCAAGTGATCTTAACATACAGCCAAGACTAGCATCACTATCTTAGATCCAGAACACTGCTTCTCAAACTTGGCATGTGCATCAGAATCATCTGGAGGTCTTGTTAAAGCACAGGTTGCTGGGCCCACTCCCAGAGTTTCTGATTCAGCAGGTCTTAGGTAGGACCTGAGACTCTATTTCTAACAAAGTTCCCAGGTGATGCTGATGATACAATTTTAGGAACCACACTTTAAGAACCATTGGTTTAGAGACTCAATAATAGTACACACCACTGCTAAATTTTAAATAATTAAGGAAAAATCTTGTTGCTTTGAAGACATCATGGATATTTTTTAGCTTCCCGCCCTAATTTAAATAATTTTGCACATTTTGAGCCCACTGTAGACTAGATCAAGTCATCCTTGTTAATAGAAGAATTATTAACCTCTTTTTCCTAGAGGAGATTTAGATTTAGATTCAAGGGAGTGAAATTAGCATTTAATTGGAATAAATAATTGTGCTTCTTGGGCAAATTACCCCTGGCAAAGCTGGAAGGAATCTGAAAAGTGGAGATCCGTGAAAGTCACTTCCAATATGTGCAATAAAACGGTATGCAAAATAATGTATCTTTGCATAAGCACCTGAATAAATCTTGGCCTTGTCATTATTAGCACTGTTTCCATTCCTCCTATTGCCAGAGATGGTGAGTACAGTGATTGATTCCTTTGGGACTAGGAATCACCGGGAGAGGCAGGGTCACTGTGAATGGTCATGCAGCATGCACACTGCACAACACCATGGGCATCATTCACAGACTTCAGTGGGAATTGCACCCTCTGGAGCTGTGCTACATGGCTTACCTGGGAGAGGGCTATATTTCTTCTGGAGTTGTAGAACTCTTAACCTCTCTCTAGGAACCAGGACCTAGAAAGCATTATAACACATGTCCAGAGGTCAAAGTTCCGTCCACTGTTGGTTCAGTCCACCACACCTGCTTCCCCCATTTCCAGGTGCTGGCTCTGGATGACCCGCTGGGGAGGTGTATTAGTCTGTTTTCATGCTGCTGATAAAGACATACCTGAGACTGGGTAATTTATAAAGAAAAAGAGGTTTAATGGACCGACAGTTCCACGTGGTTGGGGAGGCCTCACAATGATGGCGGAAGGCTTACCTGGCAGCATACAAGAGAGAATGAGAGCCAGGTGAAAGGGGAAACCCTTTATAAAATCATCAGATCTCATGAGACTTATTTACTACCACAAGAACAGTATGGGGGAAATCACCCTCATGATTCAATTATCTTCCACTGGGTTCCTCCCACAACACTTGGGAATTATGGGAGCTACAATTCAAGATGAGATTTGGATGGGGACACAGCTGAACCATATCAGGAGGAATGAGGAGAACAAGAAATTCCCATGGTGTCTGTTCACATGCACAAAGAGACATGAAAAATCTTGTTGGGTGAACCCTGATGGCAGCTTTGATGGCTAGGGGAGAGACAGACAGGGGGTCTTTGTGTAGGGTGTAAGTCTTGCTCTTCAGTTGGATCTTGCTCTTCAGCCAGATTCCTTTATTCCTTACATCTTTACCTTTACACAGCCCTCTATTTTTTTTTATGTCCCCTGTACCCACTCTACAGCAACCACATATGACATATTTTTTGGATAACTTCCTATTTTAAATATTATTATCTGAGTCCCAAGGTCTGTCTGGTTCCAGCTCTGGACATGGGGTCATTCCTGAGTGCAGTCTCGAGTTCAATCAGGACATCTTTATCTCAACTCCCCCCTCAGGCAGTCACTCCTTCTAGAACTGGCATGAGCATCCTCCGTCTCCTCATATGGAAGTAGGTCTGAGGCTGAGGTTCTAAGCTAGGAGGTGGGGGAGCCATGCCAGTCAGAATATTGAAGTGAATAAGCCATTGGTTTTTATGTAAATCTTTCAGACAACAAGAATGAAATTTCAGAGGTGGATTGATCCATCTGGGCATTTCATCTCAAACCTGTTATTATGGACTAAATTTCTGTGTCCCTCCCCAAATTCATATGTTGATGCCCTAATCACCAGTGTGGCTGTATTTTGAGATGGAGCCTCTAAAGAAGTAATTAAGGTTAAATGAGGTCTTAAGGATGGGTCCCTTATCCAACAGGATTTGTGTCCTTATAAAAAGAGATACCAGACATGTCTGTCTTGCTTCACCATGTGAGGACATGGTAAGAAAGAGGCCAAGTGAACGCCAGGAAGAGAGCTCTCACCAGGAACTGAATCAGTCAAAACCTTGATCTAGGACTTCTAGCCTCCAGAACTGCAAGTAAATGAATTTCTGTTGTTTAGGCCACCCAGTCTGTGGCATTTTGCTATGCCAGCCCAAGCAAACTAATACACCCATCCTTTCCCTTCTTGCCCCATGTCAACCCAAGCTCCTCCACAGCTGGAGCTGGATCAGGTCAAGATAAGTCCCTCGTGGTACTCACCATAGCTTCTTCCCATCTCCACCACTAGCTTATAGCACGTGAGGCAGGGACTGGGTCTCAGCCACTCTCATCATGCCCCAGTGCTGAGCAGGCTCTTCCCCTGCAGTCATGAGTGAGTGCACAGTGATGGCGCATGGCTGTAGAGGGTGCGGCAGGGGAGCCCCTGTGCTATTCTTGTTACTTCAACTTTTACTTGTTTAAAATATTTGTGCAAATTTATGGACTATATAAAAATTGTTTTACATGTGTATAATTTTAGTGATCAAGTCAGGGTATTTAGGGTGTCCATCCCCTTTTACTTTTAATGCTACATTAAGAAAGCATCTACTCTCACTGCTAAAACATCATGTGAATTCACTAAGGCAAGGAATGGCTAAGATGCCAGAGCAAAACAGAGTGAACACAGGTTATTATGTCAAATGTAGAAGACAAAGAACTTTGCATCCTCTGCCCCAGCTCAGGCACCTGTCTCCTCATGCTTGGCTGGGATTGCAGACTCTTACTATGGTGGACAGCTTGAGATGCAGGAGATGGTTGTGGGGCAGGAGGGCCAGGGAGCCACTTTCTTCTCAGAAGGCTGGAAATCCTACATCAGGAGTCCCTGACATTTAACTAGAATGATCTACCCATCCTTAGCAGGAAGATACTCAAAATATCTGACACCTGGTAAGGTAGTTGTTCACAACCCATGCAGCTGTATTAGTTCATAACAGCTGCTCATCAGCTCTGCAGTGAGCTCAACATTATTTCCAATTTTCCCATTTGCTTCAGACACAAAAGCCACATTCGTGGGCACAGCTAGATCAGGGCAGTTCAAATCCAGCCTGTGCAATTCATCAAAGGTCTATGAGTGCCACCATGAGAGTTACCCATAGAACTAATTCACTTAAGAAGATGGCGGCAAAAGACCCAGCTCTAAATCAGATACATGTTTAACTAATGCAAATGTTGCTTCTGATTTTAAACCAAATATTGGGGAACCAAAGAAATAATGCCCATAGCAATCCTTGCCAAACACAAATATATCAAACACACAAATTGACATCTTATTTTCATGAATACCTTCTTCACTCCAAGCTTTCAAACATTGCAAGGAATCAATTTAGAGAGATCTAGGGAATACTCCAAATAGAAGGTTTTGTTTATACTCTAGGAGTTATGTAATGTAATGTGAAAAAATTATTTCTAGTAAGTCCTGGCATAAATTGTGTAAGCTGAGAAACAGTGATAAAGGAAGTGGATGTAACTGAATGTAAGGATCCAATCCAAATTGTTCAGGCCATATATAATTCTTGCACATACTGGAAGCACATATTTTGAGAGGAAACTTTGGAATGCATCGGCGTGATATGGCAAAGTAGAATTGCTTGAATTCTGCTACAGGATTTTATATAGAAGTATTCATTTCAGCCACAGTAGTACCTCAGTTATTCAAATGCCGTTTATGTAGCAAATGTATTCAGAACCCAGAGAATCTGGAAAAAAAAAATGAAGGCCTTATAATGATTAAAATATGTAAGTCCATGCACTAAATGCCATTCATTTTACTTCCTAGAAGAAATCCACATTACTCAAAATCCCTACATAATTTTCTTTTCTTTCTTTTTTTTTTTTTTTTTTTTTTTTTTTTTTTTGAGATGGAGTCTCGCTCTGTATCCCAGGCTGGAGTGCATTGGCGCAATCTCGGCTCACTGCAAGCTCCGCCTCCCGGGTTCACGCCATTCTCCTGCCTCAGCCTCCCAAGTAGCTGGGAGTACAGGCACCCACCACCACGCCCGGCTAATTTTTTCTATTTTTTAGTAGAGACGGGGTTTCACCATGTTAGCCAGGATGGTCTCGATCTCCTGACCTTGTAATCCACCCGCTTCGGCCTCCCAAAGTGCTGGGATTACAGGCGTGAGCCACCAGGCCCGGCCCATAATTTTCTAATAGGTTTGGATATTTGATATTGGAATATGGCAGAAGCTGCTAGTGGTTGACCCCAACAGCCCTTCTTCTATTTTTACTTGTTATCAGAAACTCAATTTTATTCAAGGAACTCATGTACTCAGGTAGAAACTACACTTCTCAGTATTCTTAAAGCTATAAGTGTGACAAACTTTTGAGCAATGGGATACAAGCAGAAATGTTGTTGTAAAGGAAGTCTAGGTTATACCCCACCATGGTGGGACCCAGCCCTCTGCCTTCCTGCCTTCCTGCCTTCCAGTCTGCTGTCTGGAACTCTGGTCTGTTGTCTCTAGGAACCATCTTGGACACATGAGTTACACCCTATGGATATTTCAGCAGAGAGCTAAAGGAGCCTGAATGCCTATGAAATTCAAAATGTGCCATACTGGTCTTGTGCTACATATCTCTGGAATTCTTATGCATGGCACGTAAATAAGTTTCTTTTTTTTGTTTTAGCCACGTTAGTTTATTCTAAATGTTTACCTGTGCATACAAGTTTATCCTAATAAATATGCTCAACATAAATAAAAAATAGTAAATTGTTAGCTTTCTGGTTACTAGAAACGATAATATATGGGAGGAAGGATGTCTGACATCCTTAATAATGAAGGAGACATTAAATAAAACAAAACCCCCAAACAGCCAAACCTATAAATAAGTTTTCATGGAAACACTTTTAAAGGATAGCATTCTGTTATTCCTATTAAGGCAAATTGTCCTACAACTCTCTCGTAGGCAATGAAGGCATCAATACATAATAGAAAATCAGAATCACCTGAATTAATAATCATGGCTCGGAGTCATCAAGAAAAAAGCAAGTTATGTTTGGTTTAAGAGAGTACATAGAAATAGTTTAAATCAAAATATCTTATTTTAAAACAAAAATTTTTCCTAATGAGCAAACAAAAGGAGCATACTTTCTGGAAATCCTATAATATGAAGTAGCACTTTTTTCAGTATTTAAAATAAATGTGTTTTCACTGTACATACATGGTTTTGTTTGTTTGGACATTGTGCTGATTTTATGTAAACGTTATTTTCTTAAAATATTTTTTCCACTCTAATAATTTTATTTTGGTCTGCATTCCAATTAGACATACATTTTTTCCATAAAAAATTAAAATGAAATAAAACCAAAATGATAAGAGAACATAAAAATTTCAAATAATAGGCTTGAGCTTTGGAGCCAACAAAATAAAACAGTTATGCCTTTCTTACTCCTTTTAGTTACTGGAGAGTTTTTGTTCTTTTATTCAAATTGTGTGAAAGTCTCACCTGAGTAAAGGTTTGCACAGATGAGTGGAGAAAGGGTCAGCTCTTTCTGGCAAGGATCAGAAGTCAACCTAAAGGCAATTTGATCTTTAAGCCAAACCCGGATACATGAGAAACCTATGACAAATGGGAAATCTACTGAGAACTTGCTGGCTGTTTGCCATTCTCTGAACAAGACTAAAGATGGCAGGAGCATAAACAATGGAAGCAAAAGATTGAAGAACAAAAACATTTGAATAAAATCCCTTCATACTATCTTCATTCATGCAAAACAACAGGAACCCTTCCCTCCAATGCTTTAAGACCTTCCATAAGGTAGATGCCATCACCACCTACTCCCTTGGAATCCTCCAGTTTCCAGTATTCTTCAGGTGTCTTATCAATTATCATAATTTTTGCCCACTAAAGTTATTAGCTCCATAAAGCAAAGGACTGAGTCTCTGTCAGCCGCATTTATATATACCCATGACTTGCCTAGCACAGGGCCTGGCAAACAATAGACACTCATTTGGACATTGGATGGATAGATAAATGGAAGAAGGAAGGAAGGGAGGGAGGGAGAGAGAAAGCAAGAAAGGAATTTGGAGGAGGGTATGATTAGGCATATAATAGGCAAAGGAAATTTAACCAAAAAGTTATCTTTATCTCTTACTCTCTTCAACCTAACTTTTATTCTCTGAAAACATTGGGGTTCCTTGGGAAGAAAAGGAGAGAAAATGTAAAGAGGAAATAGCAGAAAACTGTAATGAGATGCAATTGAAGCTATGGAAAAGGTTGACCAAATTAGGTTCTCTAATCTTCATCCCTACGCACACACATACACATACACACACACACACACACACACACACACACACACACACACACGCCGTTCTAATATATATATATAGCTGTCCAACACGGGCCAGACATTGGCCCCTAAGAAGAGTTACCCTGAATAGACTGTGTGAATTAGCTAATAGTCAATAATATGAAAACTTCAGACAAGTCTGACAATAAGCCCACTGAAGGGACTTTCCTGTGTGGTAAGGCAAGGCCCAGAGACCACACTTGAGGTGAATGAATTTGCATTATGCTTCACTTTCCCTCTAACTCTGTAGTGCTCTGGTTGAAGAGTAATAACAAGCCTACAGCCTGGACAAGAAAAGCAGAAAAAGGAGGTAAAGAGGCCCAGCTTATCCAGAAACTGAGCAATACACCTGTAAGAACATTGAGTAAACCACAACTTTGCAACTCATTTCCTTAACTAGGAACATAAAGTTCAACAAAAAGCCACAGAAAGAGATGAACAGAAGAATGATGCAACATGCGATAGACATTAAGGCTGCTTACTGGTGTTTCTTGTTCTCTTCTTCTAGGCTCAAGGAGGACAGCTTCCTCCCCAATCTACTGAAGTTAGGTGTGGTCATATGATTTTCCATGTCAGTAAAATGTGAGTGGAAGTGACAGGGGTCACTTCCAGGTGAAACATTTAAAAACTAGTGAGAGATTCTCCATGATCCTTTTCCCTTCTGCCACCATGATCGACAGTTTTCCAAATGATGGTGCGTTCACACTCTGGGTCCTGGAGTGAGGATGATATGCAGTGGGAGTTAGCTAACTACAGCCTGTGGTCACCTGTTTTTGTAAATAAAGCTTCATTGGAACATAGCCGTACCCATTTGTCTATGCATACTTTGAAATGACAATGGCAAAACTGAGTCGTTACAACAGGGACCATATAGCCTAAAAGCCTATTCACTAAGTGGCCTTTTAAGAAAACATTTGCAGACTCCTTATATAGACCCTGATCCCCCAGCCCCGCTTACTTCAAGTGGATATGTAGGTTGAAGGGGAAGACAAGCCTTTGTTACTCTATACCAACAAAAATTGGGGGCTTTTTGGTTACTTGTATATAACTTAGGTTATTCTGACTGACACAAAACTCTTTAAAAATCACTTAAATTGTATGCATGCTATTAATAGAAATATTCTTCAAGAACTAGTGAAAACAACTAGGATAGTACTAAACACAGAGCAAGTTCTTGGGTAGTAAGTTTTCCTTTTCTTGGTTCGATATCATCACAGACGAGGGGTGCAGACCACAGGTGCAATCAGGAATGGGCTATGTGGCAGCTCCCTCAGAATGCATTGCCACTGCTACTATAGCAGTAGCTTTTCAACAATTTTAAAAGAAGATATTGACATGGCAGTTATTAAGATGGTTCACGCCTGTAATCCCAGCACTTTGGGAGGCCGAGGCAGGTGGATCGTGAGGTCAGAAGATAGAGACCATCCTGGCTAACTCAGTGAAACCCAGTCTCTACTAAAAATACAAAAAATTAGACAGGCATAGTGCTGGGTGCCTATAGTCCCAGCTATTTGGGAGGCTGAGGCAGGAGAATGGCTTGAACCCAGGAGGCAGAACTTACAGTGAGCCAAGATCGCGCCACTGCACTCCAGCCTGGGTGACAGAGTGAGACTCCGTCTCAAAAAAAAAAAAAAAAAAAAAAAAAAAAAAAAAAAAGATGGTTAAAAGACATTAGAAGAGGCTAAGTGAAAGCAAACATGGGTCTGTTCCACACAGGGTGGAAATGTCAATTGTCAGAACACGAGGGGTTTAGAGAAAGGAGGCAAAGAGTGATCCTTTTTTTATGATTGCTTCTGTGATGCTGAAGCCCAGCTATGCATTTGAATCAGAGGTAAAAAAAAACTGGACTTAAGTGGCTTCAGTAATAAAAATGATTTTTGAATCATTATGTAATTATTCAGTAATGAAAATGAAGTTTCAACGATGTAAATATATTTTTTTTAAATTCTGGAAGGAAGAAAGCTAAGAAAATATTTGCTAAGTGTTTAATAATAATACGAACACTTTAATGCTGTTATAATGTTCCAAGCACTCTTCTGAGCACTTGACATATTTTAGCCCTTATTATAATCCTAACCCTATAAGTTAGGTATTATCATTTTCCCCAGTTTACTGATAAAGGGGTGAAGCACAGAGAAACTAAGTAGCTGGCCCAAAGTCAGCAATTAAAAGAGGTAGAGCAGGGTTCAAATGCAGGCATTCTGAGTCTAGTGCAATGTCTCTTAACCACCTTGCGCCATTGAATGTTCACAGGTGTTACCACTGGACTTGGGACACAGTATGAAGGCAAAGACTCATGGCTAGGCTGCTGTGTTATCTATGGTGCTTTTTGCTCTAAGTATCAGAAAACCCAATTCGAACTTGCTTAAACAATGAGAAAATGTATTATTTCATGGAACAGAAGCCCAGAGGAAGGACAGCTACAAAATTGGTTGAATCAGTGATTTATTGATGTCATAAAGAACCCAGGTTCTTTTTTGCCTTTTGATTCTGTTATCCACAGCATTGACTTCACCTAAGGCTGGTTGCCCTATGGTCAATAATAGCAACCAGAAACAAGGGGCACATGTATTCTTCTTTGTTGCTACCCAGCCAGAAAGAGAAATACTCCTATCCTCTTCCATTCTTTCTGAGCCAAATCAGGTCACGTGTTCATGCCTGGAGGGTGGAGGGGAAGGAAACCAGGGCAATGTCACATGTTGTTTGTCTTAGAAAAAAACAAGATTCCTAGAGTTGGAGAAAGGGTAAATTTCTCCTGAGTCAATCCTACTGCTAACTAAGGGATTTAATAACTGAATAAAGTCAGCCTTTGGTTAGCAAGGAGGATGAAGTTTGATGGGAAAATAATGGACAGTGTCCACTATTGGCAGGTATTCAGCTGAAGCATGATCACATCTGCCAACTTGGTTATTTCTGCTACCCTTTTCCTTGGGGTCCTTCCACAGAGACAATGTTTTGAGATGGTAAAATTCATACTGTCCATTGCATCATGAATTTCAATATTAATTCTGAAATCTGTTCATGAGCAAGTTGTTTCAAAACTTGAGAGACTAGATATACAAAAGGACAATGGCCACACCACACATAGAAAATAAAATTCTGACCCACAACCCGAGGAAACCGGTCCAGAAAGTCAGTCTACTATCTACAGTAACCAGTTCAGGAAGTCAGACTACTATGTCTAGCAGGCAGTCCATGAAATAAACAATAACTCTCATTGGCCCAAAATGGCCAGGGTTTGATTAATAACTGACAACTTCCACATTTTTGCCCCTCACCCACCCCGGCTTTCGACTTAGGACCAACTAGAGAAAGCCAACTATGTACATCTCAACAATCACATAGGATGTCCCACTTCTAGTTGTCTCACCTACAGCTTCCCCATGCCAATAGCCTCCAGTTGGGGCGTACCTGAAGACTTCCCTTTTTTCTGCTATAAAGCTTTCCCACTCCTCTGCCTGCTAGAATCTCTGCCCAGTGCAAGTGATGGTGGCCAACTTCCTCACTGTAGCAAGTTCTCAGTAAACAGTCTTTGCTTGTTATCATTTGGGTGATCTTCATTTATTTCCACATTTTCTGAGCTTCAGTTTCTTCATTTGTAAAAGTAGGGATAATAATAATAACAGCTTTGGAGGGATGTTGTAAGGATTAAATGAAATGAGATTACGTATTAAAGCCCTTAGCATGTTAATTGTTATGGACTGAAAATTATCTCTTGAGAAATAATTGCTCCTTTGACTGGTGGGCATATTTATGGGGGGCAAAGAAACTCTGCAGGTATCACCATAGGGCGTGATTCAGAAAGCAAAATAAATACTATGTGGTCTAAGCAGAAAGGCCTAGGGCCACACAGCTGTTTTCCTGTGTGAGCAAGGAGCTCTTTTGTACACTTTGCCTGAAGTGCCCCTTAATGAGTGGGTCCTTCACTGGCCTCTATGCATGTTGCTTACGGCAATGAACCTGGCCTGGATTGTGATAAGTCAAAAATGCACAGAAACTGTTGACAGCATCCAGTGCCAGCACTGTATCTTGTACATAGTAGGTAGATAGTATATATTTATTAGGTGACTGACAGAATAAACATATGCTATTTACCACTGCCAAAAACCTGAGAATATGCCAGGTGTGGTGGCTCACGCCTACAGTGTCAGCTACTTGGGAAGCCAGAGTGGGAGGAATGATTGAGCCCAGAAGTTTGAGGCCAGCCTGGGCAACATAGCAAGACTTTGTCTCTAAAAAATTTTTTTTAGTTTGAATTAAAAAAAAATTTGAGAATAGATTTGCTATTGCATGTGGAAACTATTTTCATGTAGTCTAAGAAGCTAAAATTTCAAGGATCTGTGATGAAAATAGGTGCTTTGGTCTTCACAAATATTTCAAACTACAAAAATTAGAATTGATTCCTACAACTGAAAGAAGGACAAGAAGAAATTTGATTAAAATATAATGAGGAAGAGGAAGACATGAAGTGGGAGAGAGAGAGAGAGACAGAATGAGAATGAGATTTTTTTTCCCATGGGAAGTAAGAGGCTGCCGTGGGAGACATCAGAGGACAGAATGGGATAAATACCTTACGGAGCAGGAGGAGAAAGAGGTGATTCATTTTCTCAAGATTAATTAAGAACATTTTAAGTATTTGTTTGTTTGTTTATTTATTTATTTATTGAGATGGAGTCTTGCTCTGTCGCCCGGGCTGGAGTACAGTCGCATGATCTCGGCTCACTGCAACCTCCACCTCTCAGGTTCAAGTGATTCTCCTTGCCTCAGCCTCCCAAGTAGCTGGGATTACAGGCGCCCGCCACCACGCCTGGCTAATTTTTTTGTATTTTTAGTAGAGACGAGGTTTCACTGTGTTGGCCAGGCTGGTCTCAAACTCCTGACCTTGTGATCTGCCCACCTCAGCCTCCCAAAGTGCTGAGATTACAGGCATGAACCACCGCGCCAAGCCATTTTAAGTGTTTATTGTGTATACCCATCTATGTTGTAGATTATTCTGATTAAAAAGAGTTTAGTATCTAAGAGAAAGGTAAAGGTGGAAAGAGTGAAAGTGAAAGTAACTGTGGTTGGGGAGAATTCCAGATTAGAGTCAGTTCATCCTCCAAACACTGCTCCTAATGATCAAAGAATATGGGAAGCCATCTGATCATACTGATTCAGAGAAAATACAGTGAAGTACCTGCCTGACGTAAGGTGAGTCAGGACTACTCCTCACGAAAATGATTTATGGGATTCTTCTGGTTCATAATGACCTCTCAGCATGAAAAACCTAAGAGGCATCCCACTCAGACACCCAGTCTGAGCACGTGCAAACACATAAGCACCCGGGAGTTGGGGTGGGGGAAATAGTACTTCGAAGGTGGTAATTGTAGTCTCGGGTGCAATAGTCTGAATGTCATGTCCCTCCAAAATTCATATGTTGACATCCTAACCCCCAATGTGATGGTATTAAGAGGTAAAGCCTGTGGGAGGCAATTAGTTTACAAGAATATAGCCCTCCTGAATGGGATTAATGCTGTTATCCAAGAGATTCAAGTGCTGTTATCCAAGAGAACGATAGCTTATTCACCCCTTCTGCCCTGTGAGGTTACAGCAAAAAGCAGCTGTCTGTGAGCCAGGAAGAGGCCCCTCACCAGACACCAAATCTGCTGGTGCCTTGATCTTGGTCTTCCCAGCCTTCTGAGCCTTCAGAGCTTTGAGAAATAAATTTCTGTTGTTTGTGAGCCACCCGGTTTATGGTATTTTGTTATAGCAGCTGGAACAGACTAAGACATCTGGCAAACACTGAAAGCTCAAAGACTAAAAATTAGTCTTTGATTATCTGTCACAGAAGATAGTAGGGAATCAAAAGAGCCCTGTTTCCTTTAAGTGATAAAACAGCGAGAGACTATTGGGAGGCAGAGACTTCACTACAATCTCCTGCTGCATGCCTTAAACAAGAATGATTTTTTAAAAAGCTCAGGCCTGATGTTTCAACAATTGCCAGACAGATGTTTGCTGTAAGGGCCAGGGTCTGTGCTCACTCACTGCTTCTCCATTTGGATCAATTACCTGAATAACTCCACTTCTCTTCTTTCATGACAGTAACTCTCCATTCTCCACCTCTCCATGGGAAGTAGATGCTGTGGCAAAAGGCTGTTAACATCCACAAATAGACCCACACAAATTTATTTAACTGATTTTTGATAAAGTTGCAAAAGTAATTTAATGGAGGTAACTTCTGAACAAATGCTGCTGGAGCAACTGAACATCCATCAGCACACACACAAGAGGATATTTGACAAAAGTCTTGCATTCTACACAAAAATTTACTCAAAATAATGTGCTTCAGTGAGCCAAGATCATACCACTTCACTCCAGCATGGGCAACAGAGTGAGATCCCCTCTCTGAACAAAACAAAACAAACAAAAACTCAGAATGGGTCATAGACTTAAATGTAAAACATAAAACTATAGAATGTTTACAGAAAAAACTCATAGTAGAAAGTCTTTGGGACCTAGAACTAGGTAAAGAGATCTTAGATGTGACACTAAAAGCACAATTCATAAAAGGAAAAAATCAACAAATTGAACCTAATAAAATGTAAAACTTGCTGCGAAAGCTTATGTAAGAAGATAAAAAGCTATATACTGGGAAGAAAATATTTGCAAACCACATATCTTGCAAAGGACTGGTATCTATAATAAGAATTCTCAAAATGCAGGACTTGAAAAAACAAACACTCCAGTTAGAAAATTAGACATTTCACCAAAGAGAACACAGAGATAGCAAATGAGCATATAAAAAGATATTCAACCTCGCTGGTCACTAGGGAGGTACAAATTGAAACCACAGTAATATATCACTACACACCTATCAGAATGACTAAAAGGAAAAAGAGTGACAATACCCAATGCTGGGGAGAATGTGGTGACATTGGCTCACTTACACATTGCTGGGAATGTAAAATGATATGGCTACTTTGGAATACACGTTGGCAGTGTCCTATGAAACTAAACATGCAACTACCGTATAATCCAGCAGCAATTGCACTTCTTGGGTCATTATCCTAGAAAAATGAAAGCGTATGGTTACACAAAAACCCATGTACAAACGTTTGTTACAAGTAAATCAGCTTGACTTATAAAAGTAAATAGCTGTTACTTATAAAAATGGGAATCAGCCCAAGTGTCCTTCAACAGGTCAATGGTTAAACCGTGGTACAAGTATAACATGTTAGCGCAACAAAACAGCAAAAAGAAACAGACCCTTGAGATATCTAAAACAACCTGAATGAATCTCCAGGGATGTATGCCGAGTGGAAAAAGCCAGTCTCCAAAGGCTACGTAGGGCATTATTCCATTTGCATAACATTTTTGAAATGACAAAACTTCAGAAGTAAAGAACAGATTAGTAGTTGCCAGGGATTAGACTGGGGGAGTAACACAAAAGAGGTGGAAGTGGTTATAAAAGGGTAACATAAGGGACCCTTTTTATGTTGGAACTGTTCAGGTCTTGGCTGTGGTGATCGCCAACCTATACAGGTGATAAAATTGTATACAATTTAATACACACGTGCTCACATGCAAATGAATATGGGAATACTGGGAAAATCTGAATAAGATCAGTAGATTCTATCAATGTCAATATTTTGGTTGTGATATTATATAAAGACTACAGTTTAACAAAATGTTACCATGGGAGGAAACTGGGTAAAGTGTACTAAGAATCTCTCTGTCTGGTTTCATACAACTTCATATAACTCCATAATTATAATAATTTAATTAGATATTATTTTATAATTATTTTAGTTATATAGAATTATATTATGTTTTTGTATATTACATAATTATATACAAAATATGTAAAATTATCTATATACATATAAACATTGTGTATAAACTATGTGTATAACATTTATTTACATATATAGTTTGATGGAGTTATAGTTTGATGGAGTAACAACCAAATCAACAACACATGTCAGTCAACTAAACCAGCCCCTCTTAAAGGTAATTCTGACCATTCTAGCTATTCAGGATTTGTGTTGTTTTTTGTTTTGTTTTGTTTTGTTTTGTGACAGAGTCTCACTCTCTTGCCCAGGGTGGAGTGCAGTGGTGTGAGATCTGGGGTCACTGCAACCTCTGGCTTCCGGGTTCAAGCTATTCTCCTGCCTCAGCCTCCCGAGTATCTGGGATTACATGTGTGCACCACCACGCCTGGCTAATTTTTTGTATTTTTAGTAGAAACGAGGTTTTACCATATTGGCCAGGCTGGTCTCAAACTCCTGACCTCAAGTGATCTGCCCACCTCGGGCATCCCAAAATTCTGAGATTACAGGCGTGAGCCACCATGCCTGGCCCATTCTAGCTACTGGAATGTTTACTCTCAGGCTGTGTGTTCATGGCATGCCAAAAGAAACCTTTTGTTTTCTTTTCTTTTAAAAAGATTTTTGTCTTCATCATAAAAGAGGTATTAAATGGTAGATCTGAAAATATGTAGAAATCAAAATAAGTAAAATAAAACAAAGATCATGCTAATTCCATCAGCCAATAATAATTTGAATAGTATGCTTTAAGAGGTGTGACATAATTTATTTTTAGCCATTTTTGTATTATAGTTAATGCACCCATGCATATGCTTTCATGAATAGCTGAGATTTTGTTTCTTAGAATCTATTATTTTTAAAGAATGTATATTTTATTAATGACATGATTTCTATACATATAAGTAAGATCAGTAGATTGTACCAATGTCAGTATCCTCATTATGATATTATACTACAGTTCTGCATTTCTGCATTTATACAGACATGTGCTAGACATGGTTTCTCTACTTCAATGCATAGTGCTAAAAATATTCCTGGACCTCATTTTGGTGATAACTTTGCATCCATGTTTGTGTAGGAGGTTGGGACCCTCAACGTGCACTCAGAGACAATAACTATTATAATATCAGACATGCCAGGAATATCGCTAGTGCTGTTACTCAAATTGCTCTACTAAGGATGTATCTTAAAGGAGAGGCAGAAAGTCCTCCAGTACTTACTAAAGACTTGGAGATTGCCCCTTCTGGATTTCTGTAGGCTTTACTGCACCTCCAGGGAAGCCCAGGTTTGAGAAGCATGTGCATTCAACAAGTTTCCTTGTTAAGCATACATAAAGAAGGAGAGAAAAAGCCGAGAACACACTGCTGGAGGGTACAATTTAGCAGTTCTTGCTCAGTCTCTGTTAGTGAGTAAAGACCTATTTTTCAGCTCCACTTGTGCATGCCTGTAATAGATTTTCCTGGGCAGCAGGTAATAGACTCTGACACTTCAGAAAGCCTCCACAGTAGAATTCACTGGAGAAAACATCCTGCATAATTCAGGAAACAACAAAAAATGCGTGATTATATATTTGTCAGTCTTCAGCCTCATGGTACCACAGGAGGGCAATAGCCTTTCTCCATCTAAAAGGGGTAAAATAGGTTAATCTACATACACAAAAGTAAGTGCACTATTACCTCCATTCCAGGAGAGGTTGTTTTCAGCATCAAGAGTAGCACCTGGCAGGCCCTGGAAGTGAGTATCATTTCCACAGTATAATCACTATTTCAAATGCTTTACTTGCATTGCTGATATGATAGTCTTGCCTGGAAACTACCTAAGTGTTTTCTCACACTTCCCCGAATTGCATGTAGTCTGTATTTTTCCTGTTACATATCAGTGGATTCTTCTGGGGTGGAGAGGAATATTAGGAGAAGAGCTGACAGACTGAAGAGACTGTTTTCCCTCCTGTCTATAGCTGTCTTCTCATTCAGGGTTTGATTTGCCATGAAATCAGAAGTGAAACCCTGCCTTTGGCAGAAAGCATCCCAAGCCAGTGCCAGGGCACACCGTGGTTGGCACCCACTTGTGGAAATTCGAAGCCTGCTCATCAGTTTTCCCCTACAGAGGTGGAGCAGATATTCAAACAAATTGGTCCCAGGCTAATTTAAGACATGATAGGAAATGGATTTTAACAAGCCAGATTTGTTTTATTTTCTCAGACAGAAAACAAAAACAAGACATTTTCTAGGATAATATTTGGAACATGGAAGAAGATTGGTTCATTCTATTGCAGCTTCAGTAGCCACAGAAATCAAGGCTGTCAGAAGGTGGAGTTCACATCTTTATACCCTTTAGCACATGTGTCAGGAGGGCAAGAATTTCCAGATGTCACTGTCGTTAATGTGTCCACCAAGAGCAAAGCAACTAGATTTGCTAGAAATTAGGCTGTTTTCACGGAACAGGCAGCTTCTGCTCTAGCTGCTTATTGATCCTTACCACAGCTACAAATGTCACCTTGATAGCTGTCCTAAAGAGGGCATAGGGTACTAGGTTTCCACTTAGGTGTGAATGCAAAGATCACAGGAAGATCTCTGAGCCAATCCTTGTGAATTGCTTAACATGGTAGCAAAAACCGTAATTACTTTTGCACCAACCTAATAGATTCAGAATTAAAGGGAGGTAGTTGTGATCTGACATACTCACTTTTGTTTGCTGGCATTCTTTCTTTGTGTTGTATTCTATTTCACTTCCAAAGATGAGGTTCTGCCTCTGGAAATGTAGAGGCTTGTAACACTCACTCTGGTTCATCAACAAAGTAGGCTGGCATTGTCTTAAACATTTTTGTTCCAAAACCAACAATTGCATTTCAAAAGTACATAACATCTTTCCTTCAGTGTTCTTAAAACTGCTTTGAGACATTACCTCACTAAACCAACACCTTCAAAAGACTTTAATAAAGGCAAAAGTGGAGTGCAAATGACTCCCCCTTCATCTGCTTTATCAGTGTGATATTGTGGAATGAGGACTGGAATGAAGGCAGGCCTTCTTGCTTCCCCATTTACTGTTTGACTTGAAAGTGTCACTTAACTTTCTAAACTTTGTGCTTCTCATCTGAAAAATATGGAGGCTGAACCAAATGATTTGCACAGAAGTTTCCAGTCCTGTGAGTCTATGAAATTCTAAAATGTGGGAAAGCTCTTATTTAGAGAGGTAGAGCACAAACTTGTTACACCTTTAGGAAGTGGGCTTAACTTTAACATTCAGCTTTATTTCCTTAAAGAGAAAATGAATATACCAGGCCCAGTTTATGTGCCATTCAGATCCACTCTTTCTCACTTATTGCCCCCAGAGCCTGGCTTTACTTACAGTCCTTCTCCCTTAACCAGGAATATCCTAGCAATAGCTCATTCCATTGCTGCAGTCCAAAGTCTGTTTCTGCTCGGGTCATCCCCACAGAGGAGAAGCTTCAACAGACATCACCAACTAAAGAAGAAACCACTGAAGCCACACACTGCCTGGAATGGAGTTCCAGAAGCTCCAGGGGCTGCCTGAGGTGGTGCTGAGTTGATGCAACTCAGATGTGAGAGAAAGTAGACAAAATTCGTGAACTCTTACCAATGGAAGACAAGACATGAGGGAATGCCTGCACATAAATTGCTTGCCCTTTAGACTTCCTGGCCTGATGGACTGTTCCAAGATGCAGTCATTCTCCTATGGTCTTTCTGGAGATGTCTTCTCTAGACTGAGCAGCCAATGTGTTGCTATGAAGCTCTGGCTAGCTGGGTAATGCACTTCCTTGTATTTGCTCTTCCTCGTTCCTTGTCTCATGTCTCCTTTTCCCTGGGATTCTACCCTACACTGAAGTAATAGCACACAAATTTTTGTCTCAAGTTCTGTTGTCTAGGGAAGCCAGGCTAAGACATGGTTCAATGGGTGTCCTTAGAAAGCAGACCTCCAAAAGAGAACTTTGGGTCTCCACCGATGGTGGCAAACTGGGTGGCCCGGATTCCTGGCATGCAGTGATAGTACAATTGCCAATATGTTATGTGGTATAGGCAGAAGGCAAGGTATTGGCATATCAAGTGGCTGTGTACTTGATCAGTACAGAGGGAACGATAATCATAAGGATTGTGTTACATGGTGGCTGCCTTTGATGGCTTTGGAAGATTTGCAAAAAGGCATAACAGACTCAGGAAAGCTAATTGCCCACTTAAAATATGCTGTGAAAGTCAGAGGGCCTCTATGGTAGCCTTCCAAATCCTCTTATCTACTGCAGCTGCAGGGCAAATGATGGAGGAAGAAAATCATGTTCAGGGTTTCATGGTATAGGGTTGCAAACCTACAAAGGAGAAAAAATTCACAGCCTTAAAATGTCTCCTGTGTCAATGTGAAGGCTTTGATAGGGAAAGAGTAGGAACCTGAAACCTGCAAGGTGGACATTTGAGTGGACAAATCTAATAATCTTGAATGTCCAAATTTCCCTGCCTCTCTGGAGATTATGCAGTCTCCTCAGTAGGAGACTATGCAGTTATATCACTCGATGTACTATAAGACAGTACTTGTTCTCTTCACAATCTGCCTACCACCACATCTCATTGCCTCCAGGCCAATGATCATGGTAACATCTCAGAACAATCTTGCCAGGGGCGTGCTTTGAGTCACAGAGACTGTAGTGATGGATAATGAATTATAACATTACTAGGAGTGAGTTGGAGAGACAGCCAACTAAATGTTGGATTCTCACTCTTTCTCTCTCTCTATACACACACACACACACACACACACACACACACACACACACACACGTGTAGACCAGAGCCAGCTTCAAATGTGGTCCAGAGGAAGACAGGGAGTTGCAGAAAGACCAAGTTGCAATACAAGCTGCCCTGCCTCTTGAGCCATATGTCTCATCTAGTTTGAAGCATTTCAAGGTATTTAGGGGTAAGAATGCTATATAGAATCTCTGAAAAAAATCTCATTAGAAAAATCATAGCACAGACCACTGAGATTCTGGAGTGAAGACATATCTATATGGCTTTGAAATATATATAACAGAATAAATTTCCCTTTGAAAAACAGCATGACACTAGTCACAAATAAAAATTTAGTTCCCATCATGGAACACCAAGTCTCTGTGAAACCAGAGCTGCTTATCATGAGCTGAGTTGATCAGATCTACCAAATCATATGGGCAGGGGGGGCTATGGCAGCAATCTATTACATGATGGACAAGGTACATTGAGGATTGGACTGGACTGGACTGATGTCAATGCAGGACACCTCTGTAAATTGTATCAGCAGGTAGCCTAGGCCCATTTCATCTATCTCTCTTGTGCCAGCATCTTTCCATCAATCCATTCCTATGTCATCACTGAGGATTTCCTGTGACCGACCGACAGAAGGACAAAGGGCTTGGTTTACACAAAGTTTGGTGAAATATGTTGGTGCTAGCCAGAAATGAACTTTTGCTGTACTAAAGTCTCACCAAAGATTGACCCTGAAGAAAAGTAATTGAGAGAAATTCTCCAATTGGGCAATAAAATTGATTATCATTTCATGTTGAAGGAGAAGTGGCCTGAGGAAAGAATATATACTGAGTCCTGAGCAATGAAAATGATTTGATCAAATAGTCAAGACTCAAGGACATGGGACAAGGATGTCTAGCAGATATTCATGTACAGAGACTTAGGGAGTGGAAACAATACATGCAGACCTTTTATGTCATATGAATACCCATTAGAGAACAGCAATTTCATGCAAAGTTCTCAACAACCAAGTTGGCAGCATGACCTGCCCTGTGAATGTCAGCCAGCTTCCTACTGAGTCATCCCAGTGTTTGTGCAATGGGGCTGCAAGTTATGGTGGCAAGAATGGAAACTGAGCATGGATCAAACAACATGGACTCCCTCTCACTAAGGCTGTTCTAGCTACTGCTGCTGAATTCCCTCCCTGCCAGGATCAGAGACTGATGCTGAGCCTTTGATATGGCTCCAATCTTGGAAAGACCTGCCAGCCAGCTACCGGCAGGTCAAATACATCAGACCCCTTTCACCTTAGAAGAGCAGTGATTCACACTTACCTGAACTGACACTCTGGAGAAGGATCTGTCTTCCCTGCCACAGGGAAGTGGCGGTGTTATCTCTGCCAACACCACCATCTAAGGACCTGCAAAATGCCTGATCTGCTAACATTGTACACATGACATTTCCTCAGAGTAAAGAACTAGAGGAAGTGCAGCGACAGGCTCATGGCTATGGAGTCATGAGTTTTAAAGTGTACTCTATTCCTCAGAAGCAACTAGCTTGAGAGACTAATGAAAGGCCCATGGAAGGCTCAGCATAAGTACCTGCAAAGAGATCACACCTTGTGGGGTTGGGGTGCTGCCCTTCATGGTAAGATTGATTGGATAGATAAGAGATAATATATAGATAAATAAAATATTAGATAGATAATATATATTAGGCAGATAGATTGCATATGTAATACATAATACATATTAGTTAGATAGCTAGATTGGTAGACAGACAAAGGGGTGCTAGAAGGATGATAGATACAGGATATAAGATCAACCTTGTTCCACTGTAACTCCAAATGATCCACTTTCAGAATTTGGGCTCCTCACTCTCACAAACTTAGTCTCTGCTAGATTAGTGATCCTAGTTCCCAGGGTGGAAACTCTTCTGCCATGACATCCACTGAAGCCACCTTGGACTCTATATGCCAGTGTTCAAAAAAAGGAGTTACCGTACTGTCAGGCATAATTGATGATGATTCCCTTGAGGAATGAGGGTTGCTGCAACAGAGAGAAGTATGTCTAGAACCCACAGGATTCACGGGCTTCTCTTAGTTCTTCTGTGTCCAGTCTCATCGATCAAAGGCAATTGTGTCTGAGCACAGTGGCTCACGCCTGTAATCCCAACACTTTGGGAGGCCGAGGCAGGCAGATCAGTTGAGGCCAGGAGTTCGAGACCAGCCTGGCCAACATGGTGAAATCCTGTCTCTACTAAACAAAACAGACAAAAAAATTTAGGTGGGTGTGGTGGCAGTCCCCTGTAATCCCAGCTACTCCGGAATCTGTGGCAGGAGAATCTCTTGAACCCGGGAGGCGGAGGTTGCAGTGAGCCGAGATTGCACCACTGCACTCCAGCCTGGGGGATAGGGCGAAACTCTGTCTCAAATAAATAAATAAATAAATAAATAAAATAAAGGGAAATTGTATCAAAAGTGACTTGACAGGAATAAGACAATTAAAGGCTGAAACTCCTCAGGGATGAAGGTCTCTATCACCACACAGGGCAAGAATGCAAACCAGATGAAAATATTGGTCAAGGATGAGGAAAGTCTAGAACGGGTGATAAGGAAATGCATATCAGTAGTGCCCTGGGACCAGCTGCAGCAGTAAGACTGTGCCTTGGCCTGCTAACCTTCCTTAAGCCTTTACAGAGATTGCAACTGACCATTACCTCGAAGGACTGGACTTGTGCCAGGAACTTCCTGTCATCATATGAGATCTAGATATCAGGTCTGAGTGGCACAAGAAAGAAATTTTGACAAGCTTCTCCCCCGCTCTTCTTCAGGCTCCCTGTGAGGTAACAGTACTCATGGTGCAAGAATCACACTGGCCCTCAGGCTCTATCATGATGTCTCTCCACCCTCAAGGGGAGAACTAAGACATTTCTGTGAAACCAGTCCAAAGAGTACGTCATGATGAAGTGTAACTAGCAAAAGCACTGGGGCATGGCGGTGATTCAAGAGCCACATCTTGATTCCAACATTGATTCTCGGAACAGCCTGCACGTGCTGCCCCAGGGGTGTATATTGGCTAAGATTCTCGTGTTCTTGATGTACAGTGAGGCAGACTCTTCTGAGGCTGCTCATCCTGTTTCCTCCAAGAAAGACAGAGTCATTGAGGAAAGAGCAGCCCCTGCCAACTAGATCAGCTGCCTCGGAACCAGGATGTGGAATGAAGAAAATGAGGAGAAAGCTTTTCCACATTTGTTCATATTAAATAAAAACTCAAATAGTGTGTGTCTATGTGTCTGTATACATATACAATAGTGTTACAGGGTAAAGGCAAGAAAACTTTAATTTTACCTCTCAGAAGAATCCAGAAGAACACACTGGGGAGATTCCAGGAAGATAATAAATGCACATCAGTTTAATGATGAACTAAAGAAGAGGAGGAAAGAAGGGCTAGAGCTCTGTTAATCATTGTTAATCTAAGCTGATAAGCCACTGGATTGAGATTCAGGTGGCCATGAAAGGGGCTGTACCTGGGACTAAGAAAGTAGAAATTATGAACCTAAGGAGCCAAGAAATAACCCAGTCTATGTGACGAGTCAAGATTCAGTGAAGTAAGCTGGGTGTCTGTAAAGGACGTCCCTGCACAGTATGTACCCCCATGTCTTCTGTTCATACAGTATGTTGGATTTGTATTCTAAATACACAAGTGTGTGATCAGCTACAGGAGGACTCAACAAATATTGAATAAAAGTGGTTATTGCAAAATTATGGGGTAATGCTGGAAATTCCCTCTAAGTTTTTAAAAGTCCAAACAAACAACTTTATCAGGTTATTGGTTTCTAGTAAGATCTTTTTCTTAATCAGTAATAGGTACATGAATAGATAGATGATAGATATAGACAGACAGATAGATAGATAGATAGATAGATAGATAGATAGATAGATAGATAGAAAGATAAATATTAAGGAATTGTCTCACATGATTGTAGCAGTGCTGGTCCAAAATCTGCTGGCTGGAGACCCAGGGAAGAGTTGCAGTTCAAGTCTGATGGCTGTCTGCTGGCAGAATCTTCTCTTCATCAAGAGAGGTCAGTTTTTTCTTCTATTAAGGCCTTTAGCTTATTGGATGAGGCCCACCCACATTATGAAAGGTAATCTGTTTTACTCAAAGTCTTTGGATTTAAATATTAATATCTTACAGATATATTCACAGAAACATCTAGAATAATGTTTGACCAAATATCTACCATGCCTAGCCAAGTTGACACATAAAATTAACCATCACAAGCTGTGAGTATTCATGTATATTTAACTGGATTATACACTTGGGTTTTTTGCATTGAGACAATGAGTATATTTATTGAGTTTGTAACAGGAAGAATGTAAATGCTATGACTTGGTTGTTAAAGAGCACATCTAAAATACACAAAAATTATTTGTACTCTGTGAACTCCTATGGCAGCGTCTGGCCCTAAGTTTTATAGATCAGTTAACACCCTGAAGTTTTGTGGTGTGTTGGGTTGTAGTAAGATGACCAATTTGTCCTGGTTTTCCTGGAACATTCTTGGATCTAGTATTGAAAATTCAATGCCCTCCAAGACCTTTCAGTCCTGGGAAAACCAGGGCAAATATTGCCATAATGAATGGGCTGTGCTAAAATCCTTCCTACTTCCCTAAATGAGCAGGGATTTAGGAGTGGTCAGTGCTGGCCCTAAAATGATCTGTGTTTGAACAGGTGTGAATCACTTTATGATGCCTTCTATTGCCCCTTGGAAGGAACCTTAAAATAAGCAGAGGACCAGCAAGGGGGCGTTATCCCTGGGTGACTTTATCATCTCCTGTGGGCAGACTTTGCCAGAAACAGTCTTGGCAATCTCCCTTCCAAAATAAGGTTTAATCTCTTTATTTGTTTCTGTGGACTAAAGGTCAGGGCCTCTCTATGAAGGTGGCTTGCAGCTGACACTAAACCCTGTCCATGATCGGTTCTGCCCTTCTCTAGGTCATAGGAGCACCCATGACAGCACAGGAGTGGGTTCAATAGGTGGCCAGAGCCCTCCTGCACAGCCACAATTTTCCACAAGGGCAAAGAACACCTCTGTCACCTCATATAACATTTGCTTGCTTCCTGGAGCCATTTGCTTGTGGTATGAAAAAAAGTTTATGAGTCTAAAAATTATTTGGGGCCATATATGAGAGCCATGGGGTCCTTGAATTTTGAAAAGACTGAGAGGAGAGATGGGGTGATGTTGATGCTTTATGAACCTCCCACCTCCTGTTGAACTGAGCAGCTTCCCTTTCATTTATCTTACATATTGGGCATCCACACCAGGTTTTGTCTAGATTGTGTTCTTTTTATTGCTGTAATGTTTTAAATAAACTAAAATAAAGGATACAGAATATTTACCTGCATAAATGTATTTATAAATTCTTTAAACCATTTGAGTACTGAAATGATCCCACTATGCAAATCGTCAACCACATAAACATTGGTATCTTTTTCTTTCATTTTCAAATACAGAACTCTCCTTCTCCCCTTTTTCTAAATTTAAAGTCTGAGAACTTTAACTGTTAAGTTCAAATTCCAGCTCTGCATTTTCCAGCTTTATGATTGTGGCAAGTAAAATGAAGCTATTTGAGCTTCTGTTTCCTTATGTATAATGTGAGTGCAATAATATTGACCTTATGGGTTCTGTGAGGATTAAATGAAATAATGCAATAAAGTACCTGGTATGTGGATAACTAATAAATAGCAGCTACTATTCTAGAATATTGAACACCAAACTTCACAATTGTGCTTCGGCATACCTCTCTGGTCTAATCTCTCAATATCCTCTCACAGTTCACTTTATTTTGGTTTGGGTAGCCCTTAAATGTCTGGCAGAGACTTAAATCACTTCCAGAATAAATAACTGAGACATTTTCTGAAGCCTTGCTATAGTTTGCAGAAGGGTGGCAGAGGATGCTTGAAGTGTGAACCTGTAATACCATGCTACCATGCTGCCCAAACATCTCCTCTCTGCCTGGGATATGCTGTTTCATTCACCGGTGGTCTCATTTCTCTTTTTCTTCACCTGACTAATCTTTGGCTTTCCCCCAAGGTTCAGCTCAGATGTCTCCTACCTGGGAAAAAATCTTCCCTTCCTCTCCGCATCTGGATTAGAGGCCCCTCATCTGTGTTTGTCCACAAAACACATCACAGAGCACTGTAAACCTATGTTTAAATATTTTACCCCTCACAAGACTAATGTAGCAAACATTTCATGGTGCCTTTATGGCCAGGATACTCGCAGGTCCCTGGCTGGCCATGTTGCATACAGTGTGGCCCTACCTGCCCCTTATCTCCCACCTCTGATTGAAACTGACCAGAGTAGTTATGAGTGGCTGACCCAAGGTCTTCTCTAGGAACCATGACCTATGTATGACCTGTCACTAATGGCAGTGGCTTCAGTCCGATTTGTGCATCAGTATTGCCACTGGAACTTAAAACAATACAGATGCTGAGCTTTCCATCCTCAGAGATTCTGATTCACTAAGTCAAGGATGGTTCCACGCATTGGTATTTTTTTAGACTCCCTCAGGTGGTTCTGATAAGCAGCCAGTGTAAATGACTCTCTGAAGTAGCATGGAAAGAAGAGCTGATTTCATTAGATTCCCTTTTTTAAAAAAGGTTTTTTAATTTAAAAAATTGTATTTACTCAGAAGCATTCAGAATGTCAACAAAACAGCTACAACTTTTTTTTTTCTTGCAATTACAGAGTGATGTTCAGTTAACAGAGCAGCAATTATTTCATATAGGCTGCGTCAGAGACAACTGAAGATGAAAAAATGACCATCCCCATATATAACTAATTTGTGCTATGGACCAAGAAGAATCTACTTTAAATTTCCATGCCATTTAAACCCCACATACTGTACAAGGCAAGGTTAGCGGCTATTGAAAATACCACTAGAAGAGGGCTATCTAACTACACAATTGATAGTATAACTAAACAAAAAAGACACTTTACAGTTTAAAAACAAACCTTACACAGCCTTACATTTCCGTTTTATTTTTCTTTAAAAGGAGTGAGTTGTATGGGAGGGTTAAATGCTTTATAGACAAGGAAAAGAAACTGTGCTAGAACCAACTTATTCAACATCATCTTCTTCTTCTTCACCATTTCTTCATTTTCCTCATCTTCCTATTCTTCCTTCATTGTCTTGCTTTTTTTCAGCCTTCATGGCTCGCTTTTTTGCTGTATCAGGCTTTTCTTTAGCTCGGTATGCAGCAATATCCTTTTCGCATATTTCCTTCAGCTTAGCAGCCTTCTTTTCATAAGGCTGCTTGCCATCTGCAGCAGTGTTATTAACATCTCTCCCAGTTTCTTTGCTATGTCATCAATGGGTAGGCCAGGATATTCTCCTTTGATCTTGGTGATACTCAGAACAGAACAAGAAAAAGCCCAAAAGAGGCCTCTTGGGTGCACTGGTTTCCTTAAACTCCTCTTTTGTTTCCCCTTTAGGAGGGATTAGGTTTTCATTTGTCTTTCATAACAGGTTTTGTCTGCCTTTGCCATGTCTTCAAATTTTCCTTTCTCTTTAGCAGAAATGGCCTTCCACCTCCCTGAGCACTCCTGAGACAACTCTGAGAAGCTGACCGAAGGAGCTGGATGCTGCTTCTTGTGCTTCCTCCCAGCAAGTCTATACAGAGAATGCATATGATGACATGTTGCCCCATGGCCTCTTAGGATCTCCTTTGCGCATGTTTAGTAATTTTTCCTTAGCCACCAACAGAGTGGCCCAGTGCTTATCAATTCTCACTTTCCCCAGCACTATTTCTATGGAGCTCAATGTACTGCAATAGCCATGACAGTGGGAGCCAGATGCTGCCTCTCATTAGATTCTCTTTATTGGAAATTTGAACAGAAAAATATGGAACGAACTTTATAATGAACAGTGGAATGGGAAGTGAGAGAATTTCAAGGGAATGAAAGCTATGGAAAGTCAAAGGCATGTGTCATCTTGAGTTACCAGGGGGCAGAAGAAGTTGGTCATTATAGAGAGGAGAATGGAACTGATGTGTAGAACGAAGCTGATAACATAAAAAAGCAAGAGACAAAAGACAGGTATAGAATGTCTCAGAGAAAAACAGAAATAGAAAAAATAGAGGCAGAGAAAGAGACCGAGAGAGAAGCAGACAGATGAAGAGATAGAGGTAGATAGAAACCTCACTCAGAACTGCCACCATCAGCTTAATCCCCCAAACTAGAAACCTCTGCAGACATCTCCCTTATCACCCACATCCAATGTTGTCAATTCTACCTTCCAAAGATGTCTTTAAGGGCTGGGCACGGTGGCTTATGCCTGTAATCCCAGCACTTTGGGAGGCTGAGGCAGGAGGATCACCTGAGTTCAGGAGCTCAAGACCAGCCTGGCCAACATGGTAAAACCCCATCGCTACTAAAAACACAAAAAATTAGCTGGGCGTGGTGGCAAGCACCTATAATTCCAGCTACTCAGGAGGCTGAGGCAGGAGAATAGCTTGAACCTGGCAGGAGGCAGAGATTGCAGTGAGCCACTCTGGCAGGAAGCAGAGGTTGCAGTGAGATTGAGCCACTGCACTCCAGCCTGTGAGACAGAGACTCCATCTCAAAAAAAAAAAGAAAAAAAAATTTCTAAGATGTGATTTTTTTTTTTTTTAAGTCCTGCTGTCACTGCCGTCCAGATCTTCATAAGTACTTGCTGGGACTATGGCAAAAACCTCACAACTGGTCTCTCCCTACCCCAGTCTATTTCCAGCACTGTTGCAGATCACACTATCTTACACTTTGGTGGCCACGTCTTCGGGCCTGGCGAAACCTGCCTCATCTCCTCTCCTGTGAGTGCTAGGTTCCTCCAGATCCCATTCTTCTGCCACAGCAAATCAGGCCCTGACCTTTGTAAATGGGATTCCCTTGGCTTTCTCTTCTGCATTTGGCAATCTTCCATCCTGCCTTCAAAATCTGGCTCAAAAATACCTCAGTAATGCCTTTTCACCTCTTTCAGGCAGAGTTATCTTATAACAAAGTTCCTACCTTTCCCATTATACCGTGAGCTTTTTTTTTAGTTATCTCAGAATTCCCAGGACACAGCAAATGTGCGTTGTCTTGAACTAAATTTGTGGAATTTCAGGTAATGAGGGAGCCAGGACACTGCTGGGTGGGTGGGCCAGCTCTTATGATTCTGCCCCAACCCAGAGCCAGCCCCTAGATTTTCAGGTTTTTGTCTTCATCCACGTTTATCCCCACAGATCCTCTGAAAGCTCCAAACAAAATTTTCCCCACAGCTCCATGGTAACCTCAGCAGAGGCTCCTGGAGGTGACAGTTCTGGGATGCAAAGAAGGGCGAATGAAGTGGGGCAGCTATTTGTCCATGTGAGTATTTGGACTTCCTTGATACACATAAGAGCAATTTCCTTCCTTTTTGCTTTGAATCCTAAGAAAATGCCTCAATAAAAAATACTTAGGGGAGCACATGAATTAACTCACTTTCCATCACCTGAACCACTTAGCGCTTCCAACAAAGCTTTGGGGGGAAATCTGTATTTAATCAATGTTGAAACAATCACTCTGATGCAGAAATGCACACAAAAAGAGGACCAGCTTTTATTTTGCGTACTGTATTCCTTTTGACAGTGATGACTAATGGAGTAAGATTTTTGTTCACTAGAAGAAGCTCAGTAGCATGTATCAGGGCAATTAACTTGGAAATCTGTGAATAAGCATGATTCAGGGGCCTATTGAACATCAACTTGCAGACTCTTATGAATCCTGGTTGCTTCCATTGGCTGAAAAAATACTGTAAAATCTTGAATTTTGCAGTAAAAAAAATTCATTTTGGTTGTGACTCCTACTTGAGTCACATGGTATCAGATGGAAAATGAGTAGGAAGGAGAGGATCGCTGCCAACTAAAAGGAGAGAGGCTAGTCTGGACAGAGCATTTTGTGGGACACAGATTTGATTGTAAGCCAACTATTTTAAAAATCCTCATTCTTGCAAGCTAGCACATGACCTCTTTCCTAAGGGTGAGGAGATTCCAGAGGTACATATTTGCCATCTGGAGTGGATGCAAATTCTAGTGCAATTCATCTAGAAACCTGCATCATTGAAATTAATCATCATGTTGAACAAGGAGAGCATGCTGGGGCAGGGAGGTCAGTTTCACTTGATAAGAATAGAATGCACATTCTAGCTGGGAATGTGCTGACATTCATTGCATTCAGGAAAATTCTACACAAAGCCTCTCTCTCTGGAGAGGATTCCTGAGAAAGAGAAGGGCTCACTGTGTGGCATAGAAATGAGAACCCCCTCAAAGCCCTGGCTTTTGAAGGTATCCAGAATCACAGTGATTCAATGCCATTGGATACTGCTCTTTTTCTTCCTGGGAGGGAAACATCAGTCCATCAGTTCAAACCCTACAGGGTTTTCTGTGTTTGTCCTAATCATGTTAGAAGCAGAACGCCTAGTTAGTAATCAAGCACCAGTTGGAGCTGTTTCCTACCAAACGTATGGTTTTGATTTTGAAGCCCTCCATTCATTGTTCTTTAGCACTGTGAAGGGCTTGTAACCAGCTAACTGCTTCTCCTACTTTGGTCTGGGGAACTAAATGCAAATCTGGCTGATACTTCAGATGGGCTAGGGCCAAATTTTGTTGGTTTTTGTTAATGCTGTTACTTATTTTTGAAAGAGGTGTGGACAAAAAAAAAAGGGCAAAAGTTGGAATGGTATTTGAAGTTTGCTCGTGGTGTTTTAGGGAAACAGGAACATATCACTATAAAAGACATTTCCTTCAATATGGGTAAGAGTTCCTCATTGATTCAACTGAGCTCTTGAAATCTGAAATGTTTAGGGAGCAGTAGAAATTTGATAAGGGATCATAGACTCAAGGGGATGAGAGAAGATTTGAAAAGTCATCGAATATAACTCCTTGATTTAGTAAAACCATAATTCGTAGTTTTCCTCTGATGAGTCACGGCCAGGAAGTAGATATTGTAGATGAGTCTGGGTCCTTGCACTTCTCAGCTTCTGTCATTTACAAATTCTACTTTGATGTCTCTGAAGATGACATCTGAATGTGCATGTGCAGAAGAAGTGGCATTGAATAGAACTGGTTTAAAATCCCTAATTTGCTACTTAATTGCTGTTTGAATTTGCATAAGTTATTGAACCCTCTAACCCTCAATTTCCTCATCTATAATATGGGATAATAATAACTACGCTGCAGGGATCATTTTAAAACTAAATTAGATAATGCCGTATGATATCTATATCTATATTCCTACTTTCCACCATACACAGCACTAATTTTTAAAATAAAATTAAAACAAAAATATAATCTATAATATTTGAATGTAAACTTAAGATAATGGATGCTGTTTTGCTGAAATTAAATGCATTTACACAGTGAATTTGAAAGTTTGTTTGAGTTTAGTAAGCCAGTAACATCAAATTCCACTGTGTAAGTGTCCTGGAATTTAATCAGAACCCAGAGATCTCTCAGCCTGTTTGCCATTATTTGCCATCGCATAATGGGTTGCCAGGTGCAATTTCACCTCTGTCTGAGACCATTGCTTGGATCAAAGAGGGCTCTTGTTTATCCAGCTCCCTATGAGACCAGGCAGGGCCAGTGGTGACCCTCCAAGCTGAGCTCAGCCAGAGGGAACCTGTGTCTTGGTGCTCAGTTCTGAACAGTCTCATAGACCCCCATACTTGAGTGGGCTTAGGGACCCATACCCTTCTAAAATCCACTGAGAAATCCTCAACAGAGGAGTTATGTGTTAACTTTATCTTTTAGAGGAATCATGTTGGCAGCAGCTTGAGGATAGGCTGGAGTGGCTAAGAATGACAAGGGAGTGGCAATTGAATCGTAGAAATACTTCAAACTCAGGCACCTCGCATTTAAAACACCACAGCACTTCCACGCATCACCAGCTTTACCTGCTTCTATTTTCCAGTATGAAGCTTCTGCTCCTGCCAATATGTTCTGTTTGACCTTCCCTGAATACACACTGGGTTTCCCTGCCTATTCAGCCCGTACTTATGTCTTTCTCTTCACTTATATATTCCTCTAGTCCTTATCAAAAATCCTAACCGTTCTTTTAGGGTCCATCTTCTTCACTCAGTCTTTCTTAGTTTGTTCAAATTACCTAATATGATTCATAAATTACCTTGTATTGAGGTATTTATGTTCCATACTGTGACTTGTCTCTTCCAGCAATTGGGTTCAAATGTGATGGCAGGCACACCTCTTGCACAAGCTGGTATTTTACCTGATTTTAACCTATGATGGCTCATTGTTCAATGTTGGCACTCTATAACTTGCTGAATAAATAGATGACTAAATAAACCACCCATTGACTCATCTTATAGGCACCCCTATATAGCTGTAAGGGAATTATTTAGTAACTGCTTAAAATGTATCTAAATTGGATGTTTTACATTAGGTTCATAAGTGAAAAGCAAGCTTGTCAGAGATCTTCAAATGAAGCTTATTTAATGAGTTATTTTTTAAAATCCTATACAACAATGGAAAACCACAGTAAGTGGGTGTGATGGTAGTTCAAGAGTAACATTTTACTGATTTATAAGAAGAGTAAAAAATAGAAGTGAACAGTGAAAAGACTGAAATCATTTTTCCTCCATATGTTTTGTTTTATGTTTGCTTTTGCTTCTGGACATGACACAAACGAAGTTGCAGATAAAAGATAGCACCTTTAGTTGGTAAGAACAGGGCACTGATTAGCAGCAATATATTGAAACTATATAAAGCAATGAGTTTAAAAGTACTTTAGGAAACCTGAGGTCTTTAATCAAGGCTGCAACTGTAAGTTTTTTAAAAAGCCAAAAAAGAAGCCAAGTCTTTAGTAAAAGGGCTGTTTTAAAACATTAAATTTTATTTGAATTTTTTTCCTAATTTATACCAAATCTTCAAAGTAGTCGGGACTTAGTTACATCTTAACTGTTATTCTTTTGATAATTTTTTTTAATAGAAAAGGCAGTTGTGATTAGATAATGATCAAAATGTTTTTCAACTCTTCTATTATGACTCGGGAGATAACAAACTAATGTCCATCATTTTTATTTTATTTACTCCTAGTAAATTACCTTACAAAAATAAGGCATTTGATATGTATTTGGTGAATGAGTGAATGAATGAATAAAGAATGAAGAAATGATACTGTCACTGAGTGACAGTTCTTTGAATGATGGGCTCAGGTTCTCAAAGGAATTAAACAATCTTCACAGGCTCATGCCTGGAAATTCAATTTTTTAAGGAACAGAAAATGGCACAAAATCCTAGATGATATATTTTTTTTTTGAGATGGAGCCTTACTCTGTTGCCCAGGCTGTAGTGCAGTGGCATGATCTCGGCTCACTGCAACCTCCACCTCCCAGGTTCAAGCGATTCTCCTGCCTCAGCCTCCCCAGTAGCTGGAATTACAGGTGAGCACCATCACACCAGGCTAATTTTTAAAAAATTTTTTTTGGTAGACACGGGGTTTTACCATGTTGGCCAGGCTGGTCTCGAACCCCTGGCTGCAAGTGATCCACCTGCCTTGGCCTCCCAAAGTGCTGGGATTACAGGTTTGAGCCACCGCGCCTGACCCCTACATCATCTTATTATCTGGGCATTAGGCCCCTGGTTCCAGGTCTGTCCCCATCTCTGACCTCTACCTCCTTTGTTCCTGCTTTGAGACTCCAGTCTTGCCATGGTTTCTTAGGCTTAGCTCTGTATCTGTGCTCCCAGATACCTCTGGTCCCAGCTCTAATCCACAGATACAATTTACCTATCCTTTGTCAATAGATTAAATTGTTAGATTAGTCTGACGGGAAATGTTGTTCATGTGAAGTCAGTATCTTGTTCTATTCCCATTATTTATTCAGTGTGACAATTTTTTTCCCTTGCTATAAAAGTTGAGCTTAGAGGTCTTTAATTTTCAGAACTAAACCTTTTACCCTTTTATTACACAACCATTTTATGCTGGCTCTTTTCCCAGTGTCCTGGCACTTCCTTAGTTCCCCAAGAAACGCTAAAGAGTAACAGATGTAACCCAGCAAAGGCTTCAACCAATTCATCAAGTACTCTGTGAAGTAAGTCATACTCCTCATAAGTTTGAACACAGCTTCTTTATAACCACTCTACTGTTTGTCTGTTGCTCTCTTTCTGGGGTTCTCTGTCCTTCTCTCTAGTCCATAGTTTGGTACTATCTTTTTTTCTTTTTTTTTTTTCAGATGGAGTCTCCCTCTGTCACCCAGGCTGGAGTACAGTGGCATGATCTCGGCTCACTGCAACCTCCGCCTCCCGGGTTCAAGTGATCCTCTTGCCTCAGCCTCTCAAGTAGCTGGGATTACAGGCGCCTGCTACCGTGCCTGGCTAATGTATGTATTTTTAGTAGAGACGGGGTTTCACCGTGGTGGCCATGGTTGGCCAGGCTGTTCTTGAACTCCTGACCTCAGGTGATCTGCCTGCCTTTGCCTCCCAAAGTGCTGGGATTACAGGCATGAACCACCGTATCTGGCCCATAGTTTGGTACTATCTTACATTGTATTAATCAAGGGTACAAAGATATGACTAGATCTAGTGACATATGTGGGTTTTACTCAATAATGTCTTTTATAGACAAGGGAAGAGGCCACTGAAAGCTTCAGGCCTACATGGTTTTTACCGTACACAATTCCCAAAGAGAGAGAGTCAGAGAGACTGGGTCCTAACACCGGTCCAAAAGTATGAGTCACTGTAAGAATAAAGTGCTAGATTGAGACTTCTGGTTTCTTGACAACAAAGACCAAAGTGAAGTAGGTATCCAGCACCCATTCTGGATAATTTGTGTCTTACTCCCAGATATTATAAAATCCACTTTGAGAATTTGAATTAGCCATATATTTGAACATAAGAAGAAAATATATCCAGGAATAAGGTTATTATAAAGACCAAAACCCAGAGGTGAGAAACGAAGTGTTTCAGCTGTGCTATTGAATAAATTCCATCAGGTGAATAAATAAGCCTGAAACAATAGCCCTTTCTGAGCCAGGTTTTATACAATACAGTACACAGCAAAGGTGAGAGACTCTCCACAGGACGACTCTTTAGGACTTTTCTCCTGTGTTGGCCTTGTCTTGTCAAGGTGTTCTCAGTGGTAACAAGACCTTGGGTTTTGCACAGGCATCATTTACAAGAGTTAATTGCCTTCCACCAGATAGCATTTACTCCACTGGTTATCTCCAAAGGAAAGAGCAACACTGTGTTGGAAGCTCGTGTTTAAGGAATTAAGTAGGGCACAAGTACAGCCAACTAAAATAGATTCAATGCTCTGGCAGTATTGCAGAGAAGACAACAAAGTCAGTGTGGTTCCTACTACTTGGCCCGTTGCCTTAAATGAAGTGTTAGATTCCCTATCTGGAGATTCTGCCCTTTGCTGGAAAGACCAATTGACTGGATGATCTAATAATTTTGCCCCCTTTGCCAACCTGTATGTAATCCATTGTTATCATTATTAAGCAACATCCACTGGAATTCTCTGGGAATAGTATAGGAAGTTAGAAATACAAACAGAGGGAACGCAGCTTTCCCGTATGATGTCAGCTTCTGTTTTAGCCTAAATACTTTTAGAGGATATCCCATTTAAGCCAGACATCTTGTTTACAATGGGGCAGTATTGCAGAGTGTGGGTGAGAGGACAATGCACTCACAGTACAAGCTACCACTGTGCAGTTGGTTCTGTCAAAGTCTCATGTTACAGCTGATTAACTGGCTGCTTCTGACAGGGCCAAACATGACAAGCTTCTCCATTCTGAGAGAATCTGCAGACTGAATGCCATCTAAAAGGGAGCCTAAATAGATAGCTCTTTGATACATTACCATGGATCTTTTTGTCCCTGATTTTTATTAATCTTTTATATATATAGCAGCACTTGATATAGATGACTACTGCCCTTGTGATTTCCTCGTGGATTTTTCTAAACCTTGAAGCAATGAGGAAGTGAATACAGAGTTTATGCCTTTGTATGGGAAATGAATTGGATTATTAGAGAAAATTCTCTGGAAAACCAACCAGCAAGCAGTCATGGCTCTAGAATTTCTATAAAGGAGTTAAACGGGGCAACTTATTGGGACAGCCAGGGAATTTGTCTTAAAGTTGTATAGCAAAGAAACCACCTTTACCTAGATAATATGGGGTGGTAGGGTGGATTTTGGAGACAGGCAAGAGACCTCTGAGCCATCTCTTGTCATCACCACCCTGTGTAAGTTTGACATACCTAAATACCTAAGGAACAAAGGCTTTATCTAAATTGTAAGTAAATACTCAGGTATGAATCTGACCAATGTCACCATTCAGGTACTCAGGTTAAACAAAGCCAAGAATAAATCCTCACAATCCTTTCACATGAGTACTATTGCTTGCATCCTCTCTCCTTCTTCCACATCCATCCTGGTGTAAAGTAAGACTGATACACTTGCGATAGCCATAGAGCAAGTTGGTAGGGGTCTAGTTTATTAATCCTATAAACCTTGTGACATCTCAGGACAAGTGATTACACAATCACAGATGCCAAAAGGCTAGAGACTAATACTGGTCTTGTTTAAATGTGAAAGGCACTCTCTTATAGTAAACTCAAAAGAAGCTTCGGTTTTTAGTTGGCTTTCACGTGAGAATAGTGCCCTCTGGTGCTTTTTAAAGTTCCTGCCTCCAGAACTGGCTAAGGAAAAGAAGTCCTTTGCAATTTGACCAACATTAACAATTTATGCAAAAGGACTGACTATCGTTCAAATAGCGCTTTCCTTTTCCATTTTAAAACTGTGTTCTTTGTTGTAAGACTATTCACCATTGCTCTCATCTAGCATAAAACAGAGAATTTGTACTCCACCCAGAAAGATGGAAGCAGTAGTCAAATGGAAAACATGCATTTATTCCAGCTCATCAACAATGATGTGACTCTGTGAAGCCAAACAATTCTCAAGAGAAAGATGATGCCAACCCTTCATTTTTAAGACTGAGTTCATTATTTTTACACTGATTTGGCTCTCTGTTTGTCTGTAATTGGTGTATAGGAATGCTTGTGATTTTTGCACACTGATTTTGTATCTTGAGACTTTGCTGAAGTTGCTTATCAGCTTAAGGAGATTTTGGGCTGAGACGATGGGGTTTTCTAAATATACAATCATGTCATCTGCAAACAGGGACAATTTGACTTCCTCGTTTGCTAATTGAATACCCTTGATTTCTTTCTCTTGCCTGATTGCCCTGGCCAGAACTTCCAACACTATGTTGAATAGGAGTGGTGAGAGAGGGCATCCCTGTCTTGTACTGGTTTTCAAAGGGATTGCTTCCAGTTTTTCCCCATTTAGTATGATATTGGTTGTGGGTTTGTCACAAATAGCTCTTATTATTTTGACATACGTTCCATCAATACCTAGTTTGTTGAGAGTTTATCACATGAAGGCCTGGGGAATTTTGTCAAAGGCCTTTTCTGCATCTATTGAGATAGTCATGTGGTTTTTGTCATTGGTTCTGTTTATGTGATGGATTACGTTTATTGATTTGCTTATGTTGAACCAGCCTTGCATCCCAGGGATGAAGCCGACTTGATCGTGGTGGATAAGCTTTTCGATGTGCTGCTGGATTCAGTTTGCCAGTATTTTATTGAGGATTTTCACATCGATGTTCATCAGGGATATTGGTCTAAAATTCTCTTTTTTTGTCTCTTCCAGGCTTTGGTATCAGGATGGTGCTGGCCTCATAAAATTAGTTAGGCAGGATTCCTTCTTTTTCTATTGATTGGAATAGTTTCAGAAGGAATGGTACCAGCTCCTCTTTGGACCTCTAGTAGAATTTGTCTATAAATCCGTCTGGTCCTCGACTTTTTTCAGTTGGTAGGCTATTAATTATTGCCTCAATTTCAGAGCCTGTTATTGGTCTATTCAAGGATTCAACTTCTTCCTGGTTTAGTCTTGGGAAGGTGTATGTGTCCAGTAATTTATCCATTTCTTCTAGATTTTCTAGTTTATTTGTGTAGAGGTGTTTATAGCATTCTCTGATGGTAGTTCACATTTCTGTGGGATCGGTGGTGATATCCCCTTTATCGTTTTTTATTGCATCTGCTTGATTCTTCTCTCTTTTCTTCTATGTTAGTCTTGCTAGCAGTCTATCAATTTTGTTGATCTTTTCAAAAAACCAGCTCCTGGATTCATTGATTTTTTGAAGGGTTTTTTGTGTCTCTATCTCCTTCAGTTCTTCTCTGATCTTAGTTATTTCTTGCCTTCTGCTAGCTTTTGAATTTGTTTGCTCTTGCTTCTCCAGTTCTTTTAATTGTGATGTTAGGGTGTCAATTTTAGATCTTTCCTGCTTTCTCTTGTGGGCATTTAGTGCTATAGATTTCCCTCTACACACTGCTTTAAATGTGTCCCAGAGATTCTGGTATGTTGTGTCTTTTTTCTCATTGGTTTCAAAGAACATCTTTATTTCTGCCTTCATTTCGTTATTCACCCAGTAGTCATTCAGAAGCAGGTTGTTCAGTTTCCATGTAGTTGTGCAGTTTTGAGTGAGTTTCTTAATTTGAGTTCTAATCTGATTGCACTGTGGCCTGAGAGAGTTTGTTGTGATTTCTGTTCTTTTACATTTGCTGAGGAGTGCTTTACTTCCAACTATGTGGTCAATTTTAGAATAAGTGTGATGCGGTGCTGAGAAGAATGTATATTCTGTTGATTTGGGGTGGAGAGTTCTGTAGATGCCTGTTAGGTCCACTTGGTGAAGAGCTGAGTTCAAGTCCTGGATATCCTTGTTAACCTCTGTCTCATTGATCTGTCTAATATTGACAGTGGGGTATTAAAGTCTCCCATTATTATTGTGTGGGAGTCTAAGTCTCCTTGTAGGTCTCTAAGGACTTGCTTTATGAATCTGGGTGCTCCTGTATTGGGTGCATATATATTTAGGATAGTTAGCTCTTCTTGTTGAATTGATCCCTTTACGATTGTGTAATGGCCTTCTTTGTCTCTTTTGATCTTTGTTGGTTTAAAGTCTGTTTTAGCAGAGACTAGGATTGCAAACCCTGCTTTTTTTTTGCTTTCCATTTGCTTGGTAGATCTTCCTCCATCCCTTTATTTTGAGCCTATGTGTGTCTCTGCACGTGAGATGGGTCTCCTGAATACAGTGCACTGATGGGTCTTGACTCTTTATCCGATTTGCCAGTCTGTGTCTTTTAATTGTGGCATTTAGCCCATTTACATTTAAGGTTAATATTGTTATGTGTTAATTTGATCCTGTCATTATGATGTTAGCTGGTTATTTTGCCCGTTAATTGATGCAGTTTCTTCCTAGCATCGATGGTCTTTACAATTTAGCATGTTTTTGCAGTGGTTGGTACCAGTTGTTCCTTTCCATGTTTAGTGCTTCCTTCAGGAGCTCTTGTAAGGCAGGCCTGGTGGTGACAAAATCTCTCAGGATTTGCTTGTCTGTAAAGGATTTTATTTCTCCTTCACTTATGAAGCTTAGTTTGGCTGGATATGAAATTCTGGGTTGAAAATTTTTTCTTTAAGAATGTTGAATATTGGCCCCCATTCTCTTCTGGCTTGTAGGGTTTCTGCCGAGAGATCCACTGTTAGTCTGATGGGCTTCCCTTTGTGGGTAACCCGACCTTTCTCTCTGGCTGCCCTTAATATTTTTTCCTTCATTTCTACCTTGCTGAATCTGAAAATTATGTGTCTTGGGGTTGCTCTTGTCAAGGAGTATCTTTGTGGTGTTCTCTGTATTTCCTAAATTTGAATGTTGGCCTTCCTTGCTAGATTGCGGAAGTTCTCCTGGATAATATCCTGAAGAGTATTTTCAAACTTGGTTCCATTCTCCCCGTCACTTTCAGGTACACCAATCAAACATAGATTTGGTCTTTCCACATAGTCCCATATTTCTTGGAGGCTTTGTTCGTTTCTTTTTACTCTTTTTTCTCTAACCTTGTCTTCTCGCTTTATTTCATTAATACGATCTTCAATTACTGATATCCTTTCTTCCACTTTATCGAATGGGCTATTGAAGCTTGTGCATGCATCATGAAGTTCTCCTGCCATGGTTTTCAGCTCCTTCAGGTTATTTAAGGTCTTCTCCACACTGTTTATTCTAGTTAGCCTTTTGCCTAACCTTTTTGCAAGGTTTTTAGCTTCTTTGCAATGGGTTCAAATATCCTCCTTTAGCTCAGAGAACTTTCTTATTACTGACCTTCTGAAGCCTACTTCTGTCAACTCATCAAAGTCATTCTCCATCCAGCTTTGTTCCCTTGCTGGAGAGGAGCTGCGATCCTTTGTAGGAGAAGAGGCACTCAGGTTTTTAGAATTCTCAGCTTTTCTGCTCTGGTTTCTCCCCATCTTTGTGGTTTTATCTACCTTTGGTCTTTGATGTTGGTGACCTACAGATGGGGTTTTGGTGTGGATGTCCTTTTTGTTGATGTTGATGCTATTCCTTTCTCTTCGTTAGTTTTCCTTCTCACAGTCAGGTCCCTCAGGTGCAGGTCTGTTGGAGTTTGCTGCAGGTCCACTCCAGACCCTGTTTGCCTGGGTATCACCAGCGGAGGCTGAAGAACAGCAAATATTGCAGAACAGACACTTTTGCTGCCTGATCCTTCCTCTGGAAGCTTCATCCCAGAGGGGCACCCATCTGTATGAGGTGTCTATCAGCCCCTACTGGGAGGTGTCTCCCAGTTAGGCTACACAGGGTTCAGGGACCCACTTGAGGAGGCAGTCTGTCCGTTCTCAGAGCTCAAACGCCATGCTGGGAGAACCACTGCTCTCTTCAGAGCTGTCAGACAGGGATGTTTAAGTCTGCAGAAGTTTCTGCTGCCTTTTGTTCAGCTATGCCCTGCCCATAGTGGTGGAGTCTATAGAGGCAGAGGCCTTGCTGAGCTGTGGTGGGCTTTGCTCAGTTTGAGCTTCCCAGCCGCTTTGTTTACCTACTCAAGCCTCAGCAATGGTGGGCGCCCCTCCCCTTGCCAGGCTGTTGCCTTGCAGGTCGATCTCAGACTGCTGTGCTAGCAATGAGCAAGGCTCTGTGGGTGTGGGACCTGCTGAGCCAGGCATGGGAGAGAATCTCCTGGTCTGCCAGTTGCTAAGACCATGGGCAAAGCGCAGTATTTGAGCTAGAGTGTCCCATTTTTCCAAGTACAGTTTGTTACAGCTTCCCTTGGCTAGGAAAAGGAAATCCCCTGACCCCTTGCACTTCCTGGGTGAGGCAACGCCCCACCCTGCTTCGGCTTGTCCTCTGTGGGCTGCACCCACTGTCCAACCAGTCCCAATGAGATGAACCTGTACCTCAGTTGGAAATGCAGAAATCACCCGTCTTCTGCATCCATCACGCTGGGAGCTATAGACCGGAGCTGTTCCTATGCTGCCTCATCCTTTTAAAAAGATCAAACTGCTGAATGATAAGAGGGGTGAAAGTAACTGTTCGGATTCACATCCTCCAAAGTACTTACATTCACCCACCTGGCTCTAAAGAGTAATATTTGGTTTAGTTCTCCTCTTCCTCCCTCTTCCCTTTCTTTCCAATTTTTGGGAGACTCCCAGTAGATAACAGTGACAGTGCACAGGATGATTAGGGCTGGGAAATATTGCTTTCAAACAGAGAAGGAAATTTAGCAGCATTCACACCTATAGATGTGTATTATTTAGTTAGAACAGTGTGGTGGGTCTATACTGTGTTTTGGTGCATGTGTGTATGTGCATGTGGTTAAGTTCTTTGAATTATACTAACAATTGAAATTCAGGTGATTTTTTTCTTAAACATCCAGATTTCCAGTTTCCTGTTAGAGAGATTCTCTGGCTGGACACAGTGGCTCAAGCCTGTAATCCCAGCACTTTGGGAGGCTGAGGCAGGTGGATCACTTGAGGTCAGGAGTTTGAGACCAGCCTGGCCAACATGGTGAAACCCCATCTTTACTAAAAATATTTAAACATTTAGCCAGGCATGGTGATGCAGGCCTGTAATCCCAGCTGCTGGGGAGGCTGAGGCAGGAGAATCGTTTTAATCTGGGAGGCGGAGGTTGCAGTGAGCCAAGATTGTGCCATTGCACTCCAACCTGGGTGACAGAGTGAGACTCTGTCAAAAAAAGAAAAAAAAAGAAAGAAAGAAAGAAAGATTGATTCTCTACAGACCCATCATCTGGCTGTCCCAGGAGGGCTTTGAGTTCACAGTGTTTGATTTAGGGGCCACTCTTTATTGGATGGCACCAATATTTCAGACTATTGATATTCAGACCTCTGGGTGCTGGTGCCGAACTTCGGAGGTGTTCTATCACATATTCATCTAAAGCCCTATCAGCTCCATCTCCCTTCACCTACTTTGTTCCCCCCAACTATAAAACCAATTTCATCCTGTCCCTTCTCACCCTCTTCTGCACAATAGCCCAGTACAGAATGCTCACAGTTCAGAGATGATGTATCTTCTAACTTCTCCACCCATCTCTCCCCGTAGTGACTCTAGCACTAAAAAGTCTGGGTCAAGTTACAGAAGTCATCATATCACAGCTACTCAGAAGGAAGACACTGAAGTTCCCACCAAGACCTCAGATGCCCCACAAGGTACATTCAAGTTAGAAAAATCATTTCTTCCTCCAATTGGCTGCAGCCCTGCACCAATGCTTATGTCTTGGGAATTGAAGTTCAGTTTAGATTTCAGTCCTCACTCATCCCCCTCAACCAGTCACTCTTGCATAATGAGCAAACTAAACAGCTATTCTTAGAGACACTGATACCAACTAATCTTGTTTATAATGACCCTCTATAAATCTTTGGTTTAGGTTATTCTTCTCCCTGTCTAGAAGGGTGCCGATCTTAGTCCTGGATCAGGATCGGCCTTTTTTTAAGCAGGCTGAGCATCACTGTTCTTCTCCATACCTGAATACAGTTCTTTCATCCTTCACTTTTTTTATTAATCTCATCTTCTGGCTTTTTCTGACCACTTCAGTTCATTGTGGTCATTCTTCTGAATTCCTGTGGCATTTACATTTGGCATTGCCATTCAACTGAGCATTATTAATTTCATATGCTTATTTTGTCTTCTCTGCCAATTCAACCCTAAATTATTCTCATTGTGATGTATGAGCTCAGTAAATATTTCACACTGAATTGAATAGATTTCCAACAACTACAAGCTCTAGCACCTAAAAGAGTCTCAGGGGACTTCTGCTTTTGGACATAATAGATTAACAGGGATTAGGGTTTCCAGATAAAAATCCTGGAAGCCCACTGAAATTTGAATTTCAAACATACTTATACTATAAATGCAGGTCATATATAGACTGAAAAAATTATTCGTTATTGGTCTGACATTCAAATTTAACTGGCAGTCTTATTTTGTTTTGCTAAATCTGGCAACCCTTCCCTAGTGGATTACCTGCTCATGTTAAACACACAGCTAAGCAAACAAACAAAAACCGTGAAACAATGATTTTTCAGAAATTGACAAATAGGCAGTGCAAGAGAAGTGAACAAATGAGGCAATCTTTATGATTCTCATAGCTTACTTTCTGGAGAAAGTTTCCAAGCTCCAGCACAGAAAGAGGAAGCTCAAATAGAGCCTGGCATTCTCTCAGAGTTGAAGAGGCAGAGTTGAGAGTTTGGTCAGAATTTACGGGGCAGAGTACCAGGAAGAAGACTGCAAAGGGCTCCCCTTGATTCTTCAGCTGAGTACTGAATAGTCCATGTTTGCAAAGGAACTACTCAAAGATGTGGGGAGGACTCACTAAAGAGGAGCAGGTGGAAAAATTTCTGGAGCTCACACAAGGCTAGGCATAATTTATATTCTCAACAGCCAGAGTGGAAAAAGCTCTTTATACTTGATGAAAGCAGAAATTAGAAATTGTTAAATTGGATAAAAAAGCAAGACCCAATTATATACTACAGACAAGAAACACATTTCAAATATAAATAAATAAGTAAAAAGTAAAATATTGGGAAAATGATATATCATGCTCACACTAATCATAGACACCTGCAGTGGCTATATAAATATAAAACAAAGTAGACTTCAGAGCCAAAAATATTAACAGAGATAACAAGGGTCATTTCATAAAAATAAAAGGAAAATCATCAAAAGGACAAAACAATTATAAATGTTTATGCATCTAATAACAGAGCTTCAAAATACATGCAATGAAATGTGAAAGAACTGAAAGAAGACAGACAAATCCAGGATTATAGCTGAAGATTTAAATATTCCTCTGATAATAGATTGAATAAATGGGAAGAAAATCAGGAATGATATAGAAGACTTGGATAATACTATCAACCAACTTGACCTCACTGAGATTGCAAAAACTCTTCACCCAACAGGAGCAGAGAAGACATTCTTTTAAGTGTCTTAAACATCGACCAAAACATTCTCAGCCATAGATCAAGACTCAATAAATTTTAAATAATTCAAATAACAAAAAAGTATGTTATCTAACCACAATGGAATTAAATTAAAAATGGATATGAGGAAAATATTGGAAAATGATCCAAATGTTTGGAAAACAAAAGTCACAATTCTAATTAATTAATTAATTAATTAAAACCCAAACATAAATCAAAGAAGAAATCACAAGGGAAATTTTAAGTAGAATAAATGAAAATTAAAATACAGCATATCAAAATTTGTTTGATGTAGTTTAAGCAATGGAAAGGAAGAAATATGCAGATGCTTATATCAGGAAAGAAGAAAGATCCAATCAATGACCTAAGTTTCTGCCTTAAAATATATAAGACCTGTAATCTCAGCACTTTGGGAGGCCGAGGCAGGCAGATCACGAAGTCAGGCATTCCAGACCAGCCTGGCCAACATGGTGAAACCCTGTCTCTACTAAAAATACAAAAATTAACTGGGCGTGGTGGTGCGTGCCTGTAATCCCAGCTACTCAGAGGCTGAGGCAGGAGAATCACTTGAAACCGGGAGGCAGAGGTTGCAGTGAGCCGAGATTGTGCCACTGCACTCCAGCCTGGGTGACAAAGCGAGACTCTGTCTCAAAAAAAAATATATATATATATGAGAAAGAAAGCAAACTGAAACAGAAGTAAATAAAAGGAAACGAAGAGTAGAAGTCAATGAAACAGAAGGCAGAAACACAATAGAAAAAAATCCATGAAACCAAAAGTTTGTTCTTTGAGAATATAAATAAAATTGATAAACTTTTAGTAAAACTGTCCTGGGGGGGGAAAAAGAAGACACAAACTACCAATATCAGAGTGGAGAGAGGTAAGATTATTACAGATTTTCCAGCTATTAAAAGAATAACTGGGATAAAAGGGAATTAAAAGAATAACTTGCTAAAAGGGAATATTATAAACAACTTTATGTATATAATAACAGCTTAGATGAAATATATAAATTCTTTGAAAGACAGAAACTGGCAAAGCTCACTCAAGAGAAAATAGGTAACCTAAGTAGTCCTAGATCTAATAAATTGAATTTGTAGTTTAAAAATTTCCCACCAGAAAAAAACTCCAGTCAGAGATTACTTCACTGGTGATTTTTTTTTCAAACATTTAAGGAAGAAATAATACCAATTCTACCCAAGCTTCCAGAAGACATTACAAGAAAAGAAAACTGTAGACAAAGTGTGTCCAGCCCATGGGCTGCATATGGCCCAGGACAGCTTTGAGTGCGGCCCAACACAAACTCTTAAACTTCTTAAAACGTTATGAGATTGTTTTAAAGCTCATCAGCTATTGTTAGCGTTAGTGTGTTTTATGTGTGGCCCAAGACAATTCTTTCAATGTGGCCCAGGGAAGCCAAAAGATTGGACTATGCAATGATCCTCTCTTTTTTGGAATTCATGTTTAAGTCATCAAACTTATTTCCTCTATAGCTCTCTGAGCAAGTTATTGCTTTTCTCATAAGAGCAGATAAGATTTTTAGTAAAGCAGAATGGTTATGGGCTTTGTTTCTGGAGCTCAGACAGTCCTTAGTTTGAATCCCAAATCTGTCCTTACCTCTGATAAGCCTCACTAAAGCTCACTAAACCTCTGTCCCCTTATCTGCCAATTGGAGATAATCATGATATTTAATCCTATGGAGTGCTGTGAGGATTAACTAAAACAATGCATTTGAAGTTCTTGGCACTATGTCTGGCATGGAGGTATATGACTATGATTTGTAAATTGCAATGCTTCTGAGATGGCAGTAGAGGGAGCAGAGTCAATGGGAACTGGACTTCAGAAAATTAGCAAGATTGATATTAAACCCTTTTACAAGACAATGTTCCTGTTCTGATGGAGCTAGAGCAACCTGCACACAGATGAGTCGATGAGATTCACACCAGGCCATCTTATCCCAATAATCCTTGCTGTCCCACTCATGTGGTACTAGCATATGCAACCAGGGAACTCAACGCATCTTTCTGCGTGTACATATTGTCTGTCCAACCTCCAACTCCAGCTCACCCCAGTTTCCTCAGAACACTTAAGAGGGGAGAGGAGAAGTATGGTGATATCACAAAACTGAAACTAGCAAATGTTTATATTCTTTGTACAAAAATTGGGAGAAGGTGGAGCTGGTTTACCTCCCTTACAGCGGCAAGAGTGATATCCTCTCTCTTCCTCTCTCTGTTTCCCACAAAAGCAGCTCCACTGGGCAGAGTGGGAAAAGCACAATCAGAACCGATTTTGAATCCACCCTATCTTCTATTTACAACTGTGAACCTGCCTATCCCACCCAGACTCTCTTCATCTCCATTTCCGCTCTGTACAGCAAGGTGGCAGGGAAGCTGGAGGGTTAACCTGGTGAGTGCCAAAGTTACCCATAACTTGTTTATTATTCTATTATTAACAGCTATTGATTCAGCATTTAACCTGATCCCATTTCTTACATTATATCTTTGACTTTTCCCAGCAATTTCAGGTGGGACATAATATCCCCACTTTTATAGACAGGGAGTTTTGGGGTTAGAGAAGTTAGGTAACTTATATAACTTTGTGCCACTAGAAATTGACACACCAGAACTAGAAGCTACTTTTCTGAAAGTCTTTAATCTGGGATTTTCTTCTTAGCATGATGCAGCAAAAAATTAGATATAGGGCTTATCACCAGGGCAACTGGGTGGCTGTTTGAGAAAGGAGACAGGAATCTGTGGGGGCCTTTGAATTTGGAAAACCTTCCAGGGGTTTCATTTTAGCATTTGGTTTGTTCTTCATTTTACTTCGAATTTTTTTATGTCTTTGTCTCTGAGGGACTGACAAGGCCAGGGCCAGTGTAGGGTCAAGAAACTGCAGACCTGCTTATTTAGTTTTGATTCTAAAAAAGAGAAACAAATTGGACATAGAAGCGCCCTTTCTTAGATGTCTTCCTCCACTCATGAAATACAGAAGGAAGACAGAGGTTCAAGGCAGAAGATTTAACCAAGAAAAAAGTGCGTATTTGGGCAGAGAGTCCCTCATGATAGACATCTCTGGATAAACGAGTTACAGTTGGCAGCATATGGCAAATAGAGCAGAGGTTCTCTAAGTGTTACCTGCAGATCCCTGGGAGTGGTCCCCGAGATCTTTTTAGAGCATCTGCAAGGTTAAACTATTTTTATAATAATACTAATACAGTTTTGTCTTTTCACCCTGCTGACATTTGCACCAATGGTACCAAAGCAAAGGTGGGTGAAACTGTTGGGGCCTTAGCACAAAGCAAGGAAGTGGTGCCAAATTATACTAGCAGTTGTATATTTCACCACCATGCACTTACAATAAAATGCCAGTTTGACTTAAGAATGTTTTTGATGAAGCAGTAAAAATTATTAATTTTATTAAATCTCAGACCTTAAGTACACGTCTTTTTAATATTCTTTGTGATGAAATGGAAAAGGCACATATTAAAGGATGATGGTCATCTCGAGGAAAAGCACTTGCGTGATTGTTTGAGTTGCCAAGACGAGCCTGTCACTTTAAGGAAAACAACTGGTAGTATCTGCTGCCAATAATAAAACTGAGCTTTCAAGCAAAAATTAGAATTTGAGCTTGACTGCTTCCCAGTATTTAAAATACTTACATGATGAGATCAACATTGATATTACCTGACATGAATTTCTGAACACTGTATGATGAAATGTTGTATTCATTGTATGATGAAGTAGGCAGCATTTAGAAAATCTGCATACTTCAGTGGACCAATGTTTTTTAAATGACCAGTGTCTGACATTGCAAAATAATTTGTGGGTAATAGTTTCATTCAAAATATATACAACAAAAGATTTGAATGTAACAGTATACATAAAGTATATGTTTACATAAAGTATACATAAAGTATATGTTGATAAGGTTTCAGATTTCACAATGCAACTAGCCCTTCAGAAACTACCACTCATTGAGTTTTGATGTGGTATCAAAGAAGAATAATTATTTGAAAAGGTCATTATAATACTCCCCTTTTCCAACTACATAAATGTGTGAGTCCATACTTTCTTCAAATATGTCAACCAAAATAATACTTTGCAGCAGATTAAATGCAGAAACAGATATGAGAATCCAGCTGTCTTCTCTCAAACCAGACATTAAAGAGATTTTTAAAATGCCACTCTTCTCATTACGTTTTTCATGTTGGAAGATATATTTGTTTTTCTTAAAACATGTTTAACATGGAGTGGGTTTATTATTGTCATTTTGAAGGAATAAATACATATTTTAATTTTTTCTCAGATTTAAGTTTTAACACAGTAAATAAAAATTTCATCCAGAACAGTAATACACAAACATTCCTTGGGTTTGTCAACAATTTTTAAGGGAATAATGGTATCTTGAGAACAAAAGGTTTAAAAACTGCTGTGGAAGCCGCAAGGTAAGGCCCTGAAAAGGAGGAGGAGAACAAACTCTGTTTTGTACAGCAGGCACTCAACAATTGAATATGATAATGATAAGGACATGTAAAACCAGTGTGACTAACACTATGAGGCAGGAAGTGAAAAGTGCTAAATAAGTGGTCTAGATGTGCACTGTCCAACACGGCAGCCACTAGCCATATGTGGCTTGGAATGTGGCTAGTCCTAACTGACATGCCCTGTAAGTGCTAAATATACACCAGACTTCAGAGATTGAGTATGAAATAAGGAATGCAAAGTATCTTATTGATAATTTTTTATATTGATTATATGCCAAAATGTTAAGATTCTTGTATATATTGGGTTATTTACAATATTAAAATTAATTTCACCTGTGCTTTTTTCCTTTTTAATATGGCTATGAGAAAATTTACAATTACATATGTGGCTTACATTTTATTTCTCTTGGAGAGCGCTGGTTTGGACAGGAAGTATGAAGAATTTGGAGCAGGGAAACATTGCTGTGGGTTCAGGTCATCGGGAAGTCTTCACTGAGAACTATAGGATTTCACTAAGTAGGTAGGCTCAGGGAGGAATATCCAGTTGAAGAAAGCCTCGGTAGTGAAATATGAGGTTAATCTGGGCAGCTGAGGTGACTGCTTGGGTCACATCATGGGCTCTTATAGGGGAGAAAAGTTTCCTGGATAGGTTGGGACCAAACTGTACAGAACTTAAACTGCCAAGAATTTGGATTTTTTTCCTATAGGCAGTGACAGCTTCTCCAGAAGAAAATCAGACTTTGCTTAGTAGCTTATGGAATAGCCTGAAATTGGCACTTTCTTATGTAGGGTCAGAGCAGCATAAGCTCCTGGAAACTGCCTGCTCAACAAGCAGTGGGGACCAGGCCTACCTAACCAGGAAATTTACAGTGATATGGAAAGTGTGACTTTGGATTGATTGACCTATTTGGGGGTGGGTGGTAAGTTTAAGCACATGATAATGTCACCTGGGAGAGAAGAATCCAGAGGGTGTACCTGTGTGAAACCCGTCAGGGAAGAGGGAGGCAGGCCTTTCACCTTGGTATATTGCTCTAAGCATGTGTATAACCAAATTGAGTGACACTTTCTACCTTTCTTTCAGTCTGTCTGTCTGTCTTTATTTTTGTCTTTGTTTTACTATTTTTACTTTCTTAAACATTTTTATTGATTTTTTAATATACGGTGGGATTTTACTGTGTTGCCTGGGCTGGTCTCAAACTCCTGGGCTCAAGGAGTCCTTCCACTTCAGCCTCCCAAAGTGCTAGGATTACAGGTGTGAGCCACACGCCTGGACTTCTCTTTATTTTATTGAACCCCTACTGTGAATCAAGGGGTTAAGAGCTAACTACAAGGAGATGAAATGAAAAGACCACTGAAGTGGGAAGGGAAACACCTGGGCTATTATCGGGCTCCGTGGCTAACTTATTGAGTCCTCTTGGTCACCTCACTGGGTCTCTTCAGATATGAAAGAGGATTTAGCATTAGATGGGACCAAGACTTCCTCCAACTCTGTGATTCTAGAACAGGCTGATGTCACAAAGGGAGAAGAACGCACCGTAGCAACCAGGGGCAAGGCTACTCAAGGAGAGTAGGAGGAGGCTAGGTCAGGAAGGGCAAGCACTGGTGGCCTACCCAGGACTTGGCCCAACCCTCTGGGTCAGGTCACCCTCGTCGGAGTGAGCGGACCCCGCTGGAATTGGAGCCCAGTAAGGTCTATGAGTTTGGTGTTTTGATCCTGGCTACCCATCCCTTCCATCCCAGGGGTGGTTCACCAGGCTGAGTGGAGCCTTATACTAGGGAGAGAGGAAGCTGAAGAACTGGGCTCCAGGTAAGTAACTCTGCAGAGGATCTCAGATTGTCTAAGGAAACCACTGAAGAAAATGTATGCCCCGCCCCTCCCCTTTTTCCTGGCACTGCTGAGCCACCTGCAGTTGCGAGAGCCGCTGGGAGGGATAAGAGGGAAGAGGACGCCCGGTGAAGGGGCTCCAGCCTGGCAGTTTCTGCGTGTTAGCATTTCTAGAATAGAGTGGGTGGGAACTGACCCAAGTAAAGTCCCAGAGACTCGAACACTGACGCACAGGAAAGCCTCAAGTGGGAGGAGAAATGCAAATCCCCTACTGATGATGGCGTCAGCGGCTTTCTCCTAGGGACTGTGAGGGGCGCTTCTGACTTTGGACTTGAGCACTGCCTGGGACCTGTGCTGAGAGAGCGCTAGGTAAGTGGCCAGACCACACCTTCTGGCTGCCTCTTGTAAGGAGGACATGCTTATTATGCAGGATACTCTGAAGCTTTGCTTTCCCTTGGCGTTTTGACAATTGCTTCATTTTAACCTTCCTGAGGAGGCTTATTATAGAAGGAAGCGCCCGACTCCACGACCCACAGATGCGCCCTGGCACGGGTTCTCCGCGGAAACCGCTCCGCAGGCCCGCGCCACGGTGCCCGGGCGAATCTCCCTGCGGGGGCCAGGGGAGCTGCGGCGGCTGCGGAGGTGTGTCCTCGCGGAGGCTGAAAGTGAGCCCCTCTTCACTTTCTTAGCCAGCTTCTCTAGAGCTGTGATGTCTGACTTTAGATTAGCGTACCTGGATTTCAGAAAAAAGCTTGCAGCTACGGCAGCCGGTGACTGTGGCTTTGATGGGCGCGAGTGACATTTTAGGGCAGGTCATCTCCTTTTGCAAGCTACAGGCCACAGAGCCAAAGCGGCACCACCAGCTCACAGACGGTGGGACAAAATGCCCCTTTAGTGGGATCTTCTAGGAAATGCACGCAAAAAGGACAGACAGGCACTGAGTTTTCAGAAGCAACGTCACAGTTTTCATGAGAAAGAAGTAGCCCCTAGAGAGTGAAAGCAAAGAAACCTGCTGAAGGATGTCTAAAGGCGTTCCCAGAGGCTGCAATAGAAAATGTCCTAGGACTATGTATTCCTTCTTCTTCCTTTTTTCAGCTTTGAATTCAGCTCTCCGAAAGACTCAGATCTTAGTAGTGATTTTTTTCGGTGTTTATTTTTATTTTTTTTAATTTTCCTTTTATTTTCATTTGACACACAATTGTAAATATTTATGGAATATACAGTGATATTTCAATAAATATGAACAATGTGTTATGATCAAAGGATATTCAGCATATCCATCACCTCAAACATTTATCATTACTTTGTGTTGTGAACATTCAAAATCCTCTTAGCTTTTTGAAAATATACACTAAGTTATTGTTAACCATATTCATCCTAGTGTTACAGCACTAGAACTTATTCCTCCCATCTACCTGTAAGTTTTAGTTAGAAAATAGATTTTTCATCCAAATCATAGCGGGGGTTTAACAATAGTATGATGAAAAACTGTAATGCTATTTTCAACTCATGTTCTCTGTTGTCATTAACTAAAATAAATTGATAGATAGGACAATGTTGATAGTAGCATGAGAACAAATGTTCCAATTTTGTGTGGAATATATACACATCCGATGGAATATATATACATCCGATATCTGGAAAAACAAATGGTTCAGACTCAGGAAACCTCAGGTTGTCCCTTAGAAGCCTCACACATTAGGCAGGCGTCATTTCGCCTATTTGATCTTCAAGTTTTTCCTTTTTAAAGTTGACATACTACTTATATCCACCTACCATATTCATAGCAATGTCAGGAGTGCCACTCATTCTTCATTTAACAAGCATTGATTGAGCATTTACAATATGCCTAGAATTGTAAAGTGTAAAGGTTTTCATAAATATAAAATGATATGCAAATAAAACATTACTTCTTTTCCCACTTGCTTTCTCTTTAGCAAAACATTGGCAACACGTTTTTTTATAAATTTTAAGTCATTTACCAGGAGCTCAGGGAAAAGGTGCTCAAAATGATTCTACTTAAAACCCAAAGAATATGTATATGAAATATATGAAATTACCCTGGTGTTCTATAGGCAAAAGGAAACCTTAGCCTATCTATGAGATATGTTGAAATGTTATGGTGATTAATCATGTAAAAGGGGGTTTGGTGTTTTTACTTGACTTAGAATTGCTGAGAAAACAACCAAAAATTTGACTTTGGAAAACATAAAATGCTGTAATTTCAAGGAGGCAGCGTCATACTAATTTTCCTGAGTTAGGAAATATGTCTACAGCTTCTAAATTGGCCAGAGTGGGGTTACAAGGGGGAAATGCGTACTTTTCTTTTATGACAGGCTGCCAAATAGGTATCAAGTGTGGTTTCTTACTCCTTAAGTAACTTGAGGGTTTAACCACTATCAGATGTTTCTCAGAGACAAAAAGACTACATCCTTTAAGAGCTTTGCCCATCTATAATGGATCCTCACAGAGAGAAATGAAACACATTCACTGGTTCAGAAATATTTTTAATTTAAAAAACTGGAGCCTACGAAAATGCATACATAAAATTCTTCATGAAGCTAAGACAAAATTGGACTAGAAGTCAAGAACATAAAGCTGACTCTAGAAGCCAGACAAATCTGAAATAAAGAAAAAAGAAATTTGGCAATTTCATATAAAAGAAGCTTCTTGGGGGGTTGTTCCTCACATATAAAGTCTTAGAGGGTTTTAGGAGGTATAGTAAATGTCAAATACGTTTGCCTTCAAGTTGCTCCAAGTCTAAATGTTGAGGGGACAAGAGATAGGGAAAGAGCTTGTTGATAATAGAAATTCACATAGACAGCTGTGGGCAGGATGTGGGGTGTTTGGCAGAGTGGGAGTGAAAACTTTTTGGAGCAGGTAGAACAGGAGTTCATTTTAGAGCAAGGAAGGCTGTAGTTTAGGGGCACAGAAAGAAGGCTGCTCCCTTCATTAGGGTTGAATTATGAAAAAAAACCTTAGTGAAATTTTTGTATCCTTGGATATATTGGAATTCAGTCATAACATTGACTAATTCTAAGGAAAGAAGAAAATATGTACTAGGGCTATGAACAATATTTTAAAACTCTAATTCTACACCTTCTTTTATAGCATGTCTCAGTGGAATCAAGTCCAACAGTTAGAAATCAAGTTTTTGGAGCAGGTGGATCAATTCTATGATGACAACTTTCCCATGGAAATTCGGCATCTGTTGGCCCAATGGATTGAAAATCAAGACTGGTAGGATCAAACATATTTTCCCTAGAAGTTGATGCACAAATGTCTGATGCTCTATCCATGTGAATTTATTTTATGGTCCACTTTTTACTCAGTAGATGCATTCTTTTCAGGTAAAGAACTTTCTCAAGGATTTGAAAGCCTTCCCAAAGAAGGGGAATAATTGTCCTTTCTGGTTCCATTCATTGTAAATGAAAAGTTAATGGTTCCAGTGCTTCTTTTCTCTGTAAACAAAAACCCAAATAATTTTTCATGTATTAAAAAAAGAAGCAAATCAATTGATTGTCAGTTCTCTATCACAGACTCAATGTAAATCAATATTTTTTTCTCAGTAAGATTTATACTCTTCAAAGCTCTATTCACCTTATACCATTTAATTTTTTTCAGCCATCTTTTTTATTGTGGTAAAATACACATAACATAAAATTTACCATTGTTTTTGGTGTACTATTCAGTGGCATTACATATATTCACATTATTATGCAACCATCACCACCATCCATCTGCAGAACTTTTTCATCTTTCCAAACTGAAACTCTGTACTCTTTAAACAGTAACTCCCTAGTCCTCCACCCCCAACCCCTGGCAATCACCATTCTATTTTCTGTCTCTGTGAATTTGACTACTCTAGGTACTTTAGATAATTGGAATCACACAATATTTTTCCTTTTGTAACTGACTTATTTTGCTTAGTGTAATGTTTTCAAAATTCATTCATGTTTAACAGGTATCATATCAGAATTTTCTTCCTTTTTGAAGCTCAATAATATTCCATTGTTTGTATATATCACATTTTGTTTTATAAATGTATCTGTCAATGGACATTTGGGTTGTTCAAACATTTTGGCTATTGCTAATAACCCTGCTAGGAACATTGGTATGCAAATATCTGTTTGAGTCCCTGCTTTTAATTCTTTTGGGTATATATCCAGATGTGGAATTGCTGGGTCATATAGCAATTTTATGTTTAATATTTTGGGTAACTGTCATATAGTTTTCCACAGTGATTGACCATTTTACCTTCCCACCAGCATTGCACAATTTCTCTGTATCCTCACCAACACTCATTTTCTGTTTTTTCTTTTCCTTTTTATAATAGCCACCCTAATGGGTATGAAGTGGTATCTTACTCTGATTTTCACTTGAAATTCCCTAATGATTAGTGATGTTGAGCATCTCTTCATGTTAACAATTTAATTTTTTAAAACTTTTAAATGCTTATCACCATGTAATAGGTTTATTGTTTTAAAGTTAGTATGGTAAAAAAGTAGACATTTTACAAAGTTGTTTTCTGTTGTGTAATAATCCTTTTTTTTTTTAGGGAGGCAGCTTCTAACAATGAAACCATGGCAACGATTCTTCTTCAAAACTTGTTAATACAACTGGATGAACAGTTAGGTCGTGTTTCCAAAGAGAAAAACCTACTCTTGATACACAATCTAAAAAGAATTAGGAAGGTCCTTCAGGTAAGAATGCATTCTACTTTTCCAAAATATTTGGATATATGAGTCTTAAATTTAGTTAAAAATTAAATATGTACCCTTATATTATTTTCAAATGAAATTTAGGGGAAAATTGAGTTGTCTTACCACTTACAAATTTTGTGCTCAATTTTATTACCTAACATTTTTCATGAAATGTTGAAAATAAAATACACTAAAAGTATAGTGTATAAAATACATTACAAGTGTGTTGCATGTGGGACTTGCATGTATCTTGTTTACTAGCTATGATTCAGTTCAACAACACTGACCAGACCACAGTTTCACGGCTCTCCAGCAGCCCTCCCTTGCCTTTGTCTCTTAGGTAACAAGTTAGAGTTAGTATTGTTCTCATTCCTAAATGAGAGCATCATGAGTGAATGTATTCTTACAGATTTGGTTCAGATCTCACACTCCTTTAAAAGTGTTCTTTGGTACTCTCTGGTTCACCCAGGCAGAGCCCATCTCTGTGTGTTTCCTCAGCACCAGAACACATCGATACTGTGGCATTTAGTATATTCGACATTATTGCTATTTCTATGTGTTTGACTTCTCTCCCTATCATGAGTTCCTTGAGGCAAGGACTTTAGTGTTCAACTTTGAATTTCCAGCACCCAGCATAAGTCTGGACTTGTGGTAGATGTGCAATGTTTACTGATTAAGGGGTGAGTAAATCAAGTAAGTGAATCAGGGATCTAAAGAATTAAAAGCAGGCTAATATGGAGCTAAACCCAACAGTTCTAATGTAATAAACCCTGACCATGGACTGCTATAATATTTACTGAGTGCATACAACGTATTAAATAACAGAAAAAGTGCTTTGTGCCATTCTTCATGGAGACATTTTTAGAATCCAAAACCTACAATTAACACATTTTTAGAACATTTTAACTAGACTATAATAGAAATGTTCTTGACATTACATTTGTGAGAAGGACAAATATATTGTTTTTCCTATTGTTGTTTGGATTGCGCTGAGCTATCTTTGCCCTTGTAATCCCCTGTAAATCTGCAAGACACTTGACTAAAAACAGGACAATAGCATATTGCCGACAAAACAGGATTTTTGGCAGCATACAGCAATCTGTCTTTTATGGAGACAAATCATTTAATGGTGGCTTTATTAGCTTAGTGATCTAATCTATAAACCTAAAATGGGGATTGGCATGCCATGGCCCACAAGTCAAAAGGCCACTGCCCATTTTCATATGGCCCATGACTAAGAATGGTTTTTATATTTTTAAGTGATTGGAAAAGAATAAAAATAAAATAGATCATAAAATTTAAAATAATATTTCTGACACATTAAAATTATATGAAATTCCAATTTCTGTGTTTTATTGAAACACAGCCACACTCGTTGGTTTACATATTGTTTATGATTGCTTTTACACTACAATGGCAGAAGTTGTGATAGAGACAGCATGACCTATACAGCCTAAAATAAAAATATGTGTGTGTATTATATATGTGTGTATATATGTGTCTCATATTTACATATGATATATATGTATATCACATTTATCTGGCCTTTTATAGGAAAGTTTGCTAACTCTTAGCCTACTAGTAAAGAGTCCATAGGTCACTTTGCTAGATAAGCACAGATGGGGAAAATATTAATAGATGATGCATGGTCTTTGGAACCAAGAAGGTCTGGGTTAAAAATCTGACTCTCAAATGTGGCTTTGAGCAAATCACTTAATCTTCTGACCTGTATCTTTTAATGTAAACAAAGATAATTATTATCTACCTTTTGGAATTGTGAGGAAGTCTGGAGCTTTTCTTCTGGCAAGATGTAGGCATTCAATAAATGATTCTTATTGTTGGTAGGTAAAATAGCAGGATTTTCTCAGTGTAAATCAGGGGTAAGAAAACAACCCATCTTTTGTGGGCTGGAGGATAAGATTGTGAGGGAAGCTTCTCCTCTGGCCAGTTGTATCAGACGAACCTTGTTAAACCATCACTTCTATTTCACTACGCCACTGCTCAAAAACCTGCAGTTACCCCCAGTCACGCTTCAGCTCGAGCACAAACTCATCTGCATGTGTTAATTGGCCCTCTAGCATCTTTCCTCTTTAGACCTTTCCCAACAATCTTCCTTGAGCTCCTCCACATCCCTACCTCAGAAAAATAGATCTACTACTTGTTCCTGAACACGTCACACACACTCTTGAATGACTCAGCCTTGTCCATGACGGTCCTATGGCCAGGAATGCTCTTCCATCCCTCTTCCACCAGTCTAGTTCCCATCCATCCCTAAAGAATCTATGTAGGTTCCAGTGCAACAAGAAAACCTTCACCACATGCTTTAGTCTGTGTTCTCATCCTCCAGCCCTCCAGCAACAACTACAAGGTAAGCAGCATCTCCTTCTGTCCCTTTCATCTGTGTTGCATGTGTGTCAAACCAGGTCACAAGGTCCTTGAGGGTAAAAGGCTGATCTCCTTTTCTGACCCCCCTCCCTCACCCTCAGTACTCAATATGGTTCTAGTGCACACTAGGAATTCAAAAAACAATTTGGTGAATTAAGATATTTGAGTTGAAAAAAACACTTGCTCTTTCTTGTGCTTCCATATATATCAATTTATAAATTGTGCTTACTGGGCATTTGTATTAACAACACAGAAGCTAGTAGTAAAAATCATTGTCAGCTATGGTTTTACACCTAAACAAACCTGAGTTTTATGCTTCTTTTTAACCTACTATAATCCCATTAAGTTGTGTGTGTTTTTTGCGGGGAAGGGTGGTATGATGAGTCTTTTTTAAAAAATAAGATCCTCTCTTCCCCACAAAAAAGAAAAAAAAAATTCCCTATCAAAAGGCTGTTGACGCTGTGCTTATCTGGTTTAAATATTTTCATCCTCTGGGATTTTAAATACAAACCATGTTGACAATTACAGCAAAAAGGAGTAAACAATATGATACCTGGGGAACTAAGGGATGTATAAGGTAGATTTATTTTGGTTCTTTATAGAACAGCTGAGATCTCTAGTTTCAGTATTTTATTATTTATATTACACCTACTTCCAATAACAGTTTGGAATGGCTTGCTATAAAGGACAAAACAAAACCAGTTTCCCGATGGCAAATTCAAGAAGCTCCAAGGTGGAAGCAATAAACACCATCGTTCAGCAGCCCTTGGCCTATTTAAGGGGAGGCAGACTCACACCCAGGAGCAAGGGTTACTTGAATCCTGGCCCTGCCACTTGCAATGTGGCCCTGAGTAAGATATTCACACACTCTGGCCTCAGTTTCCTCAGCAGTGTAAGGGGCAATCACACTGGTACTTTCCTCACAGAAATGTTAGGAGTATGGAGATAATTGATTCTAAAACCTGCAGCAAGAACCATAGTCTTTTGCTAAAGGTTTGCTAAAAATAAATATCTGCCCCAGATAATTCAAGAATGCTTTGCTTTAAGAAAATTAATGGACCTTAAAAAAATTAGTGCAGTTTATTTTTAAGAGTAGTTTTAGGTTTACAGAAAAATTGAGCAGAAAGTGAAGTTCTCATATACTTCCTTCCCAGCTCCACATCCCAGTTTCACCTATTATTCATGTCTTGCATTGGTAGCATACATTTGTGACAGTTGACGAAATAATATTGATACATTATTATTAACTTACATTTCAAGACTACATTAAGATTCACTCCTTGTGTTGTATAATTTTATGGGTTTTGACAATGCATAATGTCATATATCTACCATTACAATATCATACTAGAGAGTTTCATGGCCCCTGAAAATCTCCTGTCCTCTCCAATATTCATCCTTCTCTCGCTTCCCACGGAGCCCCTGAACACTACCGATCTTTTCACTCTCTGGATTTTTCTCCCATGTGATAATTCTTTTTTTATTGATATACAATACTTTACATATTTATGGGGTACATGAAATATTTTATTCCATGCATAGAATGTGTAATGATTAAGTCAGGGTATTTGGATTATTCATCATCTTTGAATTTATCATTTCTATGTTGGAAACATTTCAAACCCATTCTTCTAGCTACTCTGAAATATACATTACATTGTTGTTAACTATATTAACCCTGCTATAGAATGTTAGAACTTAATCCTTCTATTTAACTGTATGTTTGTACCCATTAACCAGGCTCTTTTCATTTCCCTCCATCCACCCACCCTTCCCAGCCTCTGGTATCTATATTCTACTCTTTACCTCCATGAGATCCACTTCTTTAGCTCCCACATATGAGTGAGAACATGCGATATTTGTCTTTCTGTGCCTGGCTTATTTTATTTAACATAATGACATCTTGTACGATCCGTGTTGCTGCAAATGACATGATTTTATTCTTTTTATGGCCAAATAGTATTCTATTATATGTGTGTATGCATGTGTGTGTGTGTGTATATATATATATCTATTTTCTTTATTTTCTTTATCCATTCTTCCATCAATGGACACTTAGGTTGATTCCAAATCTTTGTTATTGTGAATAGTCCTGCAATAAACATGCAAGTGCAGGCATCTCTTTTATATTCTAATTTTTTTTCCTTTGGATAAATACCTAGTAGTGGGATTGCTGGAGCCTATAGTAGTTATATTTTTAGTTTTTTGAGACATTTCCATACTGGTTGTATTAATTTACATTCCTACCAACAGTGTACAGACTTCCTTTTTCTCTACATTGTCACCAGCATGTCATTTTTTGTCTTTTTAAAAATAGCCATTCTAGGCTGGGCGTGGTAGCTCACACCTGTAATTCCAGTACTGAGGTCAGGAGTTTGAGACCAGCCTGGCCATCATGGCAAAACCCTGTCTCTACTAACAATACAAAAATTAGCCAGATGTGATGATGCACGCCTGTAATCCCAGCTACTCAGGAGGCTGAGGCAGGAGAATCCCTTGAACCCGGGAGATGGAGGCTGCAGTGAGCCGAGATAGTGCCACTGCACTCCAGCCTGGACAACACAGCAAGACTCTGTCTCAAAAATATATATATATAATCATATATATATATATGTGTGTGTGTATATATACACATATATATGTATATGTATATATATCATATATGGTATATATAAAAATATATATATCATATATGTATATGTGATATACATATGTGTATGTATATATGTGATATACATATGTATATGTATGTATGTGATATACATATGTATATATGTGATATACATATGTATATGTATGTATGTGATATACATATGTATATGTATATATATGATATATATATACATGTATGTATAAAATAACCATTTTAACGGGGGTAAGATGATATCTTATTGTGGTTTCAATTTGCATTTTCCTGATTAGTGATGTTGAGCATTTTTTCTTATATCTGTTGACTATTTGTATGTCTTTTAAATTTTTAAATTCTTTTTATTTCAGTAGTTTTTGGGGTACAGGTGGTTTTTGGTTACATGGATAAGTTCTTTAGTGGTGACTTCTAAAATTTTAGTGCACCTGTCACCTGAGCAGTGTACACTGCACTCAATATGTAGTCTTTTATCCCTCACCCCCCGCTCCCAACCTTCCCCCACAAGTCCCCAAAGTCCGTTATATCACTCTTATGCCTTTGCATCCTCATAGCTTAGCTCCCACTTGTGAGAACATATGATATTTGGTTTTCCATTTATGAGTTACTTCACTTAGAATAATGCCCTCCAGTTTTATCCAGGTTGCTGCAAAAGACATTATTTCATTCCTTTTTATGGCTGAGTAGTATTCCATAGTGTATATATACCACATTTTCTTTATCTACTCATTGGTTGATGGACACTTAGGTTGGTTCCTTATCTTTGCAATTGTGAATTGTACTGCTATAAACATGGTTGTGCGTGTGTATTTTTTATATAATGATTTCTTTTCCTTTGGGTAGATACCCAGTAGTGGGATTGCTGGATTAAATAGCAGTTCTGCTTTTCTTTGAGGAATCTCCATACTGTTTTCCATGGTGGTTGTACTAGTTTACATTCCCATCAGCAGTCTAACAGTGTTCCCTTTTCACTACATCCATGCCAGCGTCTATTGGTTTTTGACTTTTTCATTATGGCCATTCTCGCAGGAGTAAGGTGGTATCTCATTGTGGTTTTTAATTTGTATTTTACTGACAATTAGTGATGTTGAGCATTTTTACATGTTTGTTGACTGTATATCTTCTTTTGAGAATTGTGTATTCAAGTCCTTTGCCCGCTTTTTGATGGGATTATTATTAGTTTTTTTGCTGATTTGTTTGAGTTCCTTGCAGATTATGGATATTAGTCCTTTGTCAGATACATAGCTTGCAAATATTTTCTCCCACGCTGTGGGTTGTCTGTTTACTTGGCTGATTATTTCTTTTGCTGTGCAGAAGCTTTTTAGTTAATTAGGTCCCATCTATTTATCTTTGTTTTTGTTGCATTTGCTTGTGGGGTCTTAGCCATGAATTCTTTGCCTAAGCCAATGCCTAGAAGTATTTTTCCAATGTTATGTTCTAGAATTTTTATGGCTTCAGGTCTTAGATTTAAATCTTTGATCCATGTTGAGTTGATTTTTGTATAGGCTGAGAAATCAGTTTCATTCTTCTACATGTGGCTTGCCAGTTTTCCCAGCCCATATATTGAATAGGGTGTCTTTTCCCTGATTTATATTTTTGCATGCTTTGTCGAAGATCAGTTGGCTGTAAATATTTGCCTTTGTTTCTGGGTTCTCTATTCTGTTCCATTTGTCTACCTGCCTACTTTTATGCCAGTACCATGCTGTTTTGGTAACTATAGCCTTCTAATATAATTTGAAGTTGGGTAATATGATGTCTCCAGATTTGTTCTTTTTGCTTAGTATTGCTTTGGCTATGCAGGTTGTTTTTTGGTTTCATATGAATTTTAGGATTGTTTTTTCTAAATCTATGAAGAATGATGATGGTATTTTGATGGAAATTGCATTGAATCTGTAGACTGATTTGGGCAGAGTGGTCATTTTCACAATATTGATTCTTCCCATTCATGAGCATGAAATGTGTTTCCATTTGTTCATGTTATATATGCTTTCTTTCAGCAGTATTTTGCAGTTTTCTTTGTAGAGATCTTTCACCCCCTTGGATAGGTATATTCCCAAGTATTTCTTTCTTTCTTTTTTGCAGCTATTGTAAAAGGGATTGAGTTATTGATTTGATTCTCAGCTTGGTCGTTGTTGGAGTATATCAGAGCTACTGATTTGCGTACATTGATTTCGTATCCTGAGAGTTTACTGAATTCCTTTATCAGAGTTAAGAGCTTCCTGGATGAGTCTTTAGAGTTTTCTAGGTATACGATTATATCATCAGCAAACAGTGACAATTTGACTTCTTCTTTTCCAATTTGGATGCCTTGTATTTCTTTCTCTTGTCGATTGCTCTGGCCAGGACTTCCAGTACTATGTTGATTAGAAGTGGGGAAAGTGGGCACTCTTGCCTTGTTCCAGCTCTCGGGGGGAATGCTTTCAACTCTTCCCCATTCAGTATAATGTTGGCTGTAGGTTTGTCATATATGGCTTTTATTATTTTAAGTTCGTTTTATGCCTATTTTGTTGAGGGTTTTTTATCATAAAGGGATGCTGGATTTTATCAAAGACTTTTTCTGCACCTATTGAGATGATCATATGGTTTTGTTTCTAATTCTGTTTATGTAATGTATCATATTTATTGACTTTGCGTGTGTTAAACTATCCCTGTATTCCTAATATAAACCCATTTGATCATGATGTATTATCTTTTTGATATGCTGTTGGATTTTGTTAGCTAGCATTTTGTTGAGGATTTTTGCATCTATGTTCATCAGAGCTATTGGTCCGGTAGTTTTCTTGTTATGCCCTTTCCTGGTTTTGGTATTAGGGTGATACTGGCTTCATGGAATGATTTAGAGAGAATTCCCTCTTTCACTATCTTTTGCAATAGTTTCAGTGGGACTGGTACCAATTCTTCTTTGAATGTCTGATAGAATTCAGCTGTGAATCCATCTGGTCCTGGACTTTTTTGGTTGGCAATTTTTTTTAAACTACTGATTCAATTTTGCTGCTTGCTATTGGTCTGTTCAGGGTTTCTGTTTCTTCCTGATTTAATTTAGGAGGGTTTTATATTTCCAGGAATTTATCTATCTCCTCTAGATTTCCTAGTTTGTGCACATAAAAGTGTTCATAATAGCCTTAGCTAATCTTTTGTATTTCTGCGGTATTGGCTGTAGTTTCATTTCTCGATGCGAAATGAAATCTTATTTGGATCTTCTCTCTTCTTTTTTTGGTTAATCTCACTAATGGTCTATCAATATTATCTTTTCAAATAACATGCTTTTTGTTTCATTTATCTTTTGTATTTTTTTGTTTTGATTTTATTTAGTTCTCTGATCTTTGTTATTTCTTGTGTTATGCTGGGTTTGGATTTAGTTTTTTTTGAGAAATGTCTATTCATATTTTTGCCCACTTTTTAATGGGATTATTTGGTTTTTACTGTTGAATAGTTTGAGTTCCTTTTATAGTCTGGATATTAGCCTTTTGTCAGATGAATAGTTTGCAAATATTTTCTCCCATTCAGCAGATTGTCTCTTCACTCTGCTGATTGTTTCCTTTGCTGTGCAGAAGCTTTTTAGTTTAATGTAGTTCTATTTATCTATTTTTGTTTTTGTTTTCTGTGCATTTGAGGTCATAAGCATAAAATCTTTGCCTAGACCAATGTCCTGAAGCATTTTCCTTATGTTATCTTGTAGCAGTTTATAATTTTAGGTGTTACATTTAAATCTTTAATCCATCTTGAGTTGATTTTTATATATGGTGAGAGATAGGGTCCAGTTCTATTCTTCGGTGTAGGGATATCCCACCACGATTTATTGAAGAGGATGTTTTTGCCCGAGTGTAGGTTCCTGGCACCTTTGTCAAAAATTAGTTGGCTGTAAATATGTGGATTTATTTCTGGGTTCTCTATTCTGTTCCATTGGTCTATGTGTCTGTTTTTATACCAGTAACATGCTGTTTTGGTTACTATAGTCTTATAATATACTTTGAAGTCAGGTAGTATGATGCTTCCAGCTTTGTTCTTTTTGCTCAGATTGCTTTGGCTCTTCAGGCTCTTTTTGGTACCATACAAATTTTTTTTCTATTTTACTATTTTGTTTTTTCTATTTCTGTGAAAAACGACATTGGTATTTTAATAGGGATTGCTTTGATTCTGTAGATTGCTTTGGGCAGTATGATCATTTTAATGATATTAATTCTTCCAATCCATGAACATAGAGATGTCTTTCCATTTGTTTGTGTCCTCTTCAATTTTTTTTCTTTTTTTTGAGATGGAGCCTTGTTTGTTGCCCAGGCTGGAGTGCCTTGGCACAATCTCAGCTCACTGCAACCTCTGCATTTCTCCTGCCTCAGCCTCCCGAGAAGAGTAGCTGGGACTACAGGCGTGTGCCACCATGCCTGGCTAATGTTTGTATTTTTACTAGAGACGGGGTTTCACCACGTTGGCCAGGTTGGTCTCAGACTCCTGACCTCAGGTGATCCGCCCACCTTGGCCTCCCAAAGTCCTGGGATTACAGACATGAGCCACACCGCACCTGGCCCTCTTCAATTTTTTTAATCAGTGTTTTGTAGTTTTCCTTGTAGAGATCTTTCACTTTCTTCGTTAAATTTATTCCCAAGTATTTTATTTTTTATAGGTATTATAAATGAGATTGTCTTCTTGATTTCTTTCTCAGCTAATTCATTTTCATTGTATGGAAATGCTACTGATTTTTGTATGTTAATTTTGTATCCTGCAACTTTACTGAACCTATTTATCAGACCTAGGAGATTTTTGGTGGACTCTTTAGGATTTTCTAGTATAAAATCATATCATCAGCAAAGAAGGACAAATTTTTCTTTTTTGATACAGAGTCTCACTCTGTCACCCAGACTAGATAGAGTTCAGTGGTGTGATCTTGGCCCACTGCAACCTGCGCCTCCCAGGTTCAAGCAATTCTCCTGCATCAGCCTCCTGAGTAGCTGGGATACAGGCACATGCCACCACACCCAGCTAATTTTTGTATTTTTAGCAGAGATGGGGTTTCACTGTGTTGACCAGGCTGGTCTCGAACTCCTGACCTCAAATGATCTGCCGGTCTTGGCCTCCCAAGGTGCTGGGATTACAAGCGTAAGCCACAGCTCCTGGCCAAGAAAGACAATTTGACATCCTCTTTTCCAGTTTGGGTGCCTTTTATGTCCTTCTCTGGCTTAATAGCTCTGGCTATGACTCCCAGCAATATGTTGAATAGGAGTAGTTGAAAAATGTTCATCCTTGTCTTGTTCCAGCTCTCAGAGCTCTCAGAGAAAAGACTTTCAGCTTTTTCTTATTCAGTATGATGTTAGCTGTAGGTTTGTCATGTATGGCCTTTTTATGTTGAAGTATATTCCTTCTATGCCTCATTTGTTGAGAGTTTTGGTCATGAAGGACATTGAATTTCACCAAATGCTTTTTCTATATCTATTGAGATGGTCATATGATTTTTGTTCTTCATTCTGCTGATGTGATTTATCATGTTTACTGATTTGCATATGTTGAACCATCCTTGCATCCCTGGGATAAATCCCACTTGATCACATTGGTTTTTTGTTTTTTGGTTTTTTTTTTTTTTTTTCTGAGATGCTGTTGGATTTGATTTGCTAGTATTTTGTTGACAAATTTTGCATCAGTATTCATCAGGGATATTGGCCTGTAGTTGTCTCTTTGTGTTGTGTCCTTGTCTGGTTTTGGTACCAGGGTAGTGCTGGCATAGAACGAGCTAGGGAGAATTTCTTCCTCTTCAATTTTTTGGAATAATTTGAGGAGAATTGGTGTTAGTTCTTCTATGAAAGTTTGATAGAATTTGGCAGTAAAGGTCAAGTGTGTTGGCACATGCCTGTAATCCCAGCACTTTGGGAAGCTGAGGCAGGTGACCACCTGAGGTCAGGAGTTTGAGACCAGTGCAGCCAACATGGTGAAACCCTGTCTCTACTAAAAATACAAAAAATTAGCTGGGCGTGGTGGTGATCACCTGTAGTCCCAGCTACTCATGAGGAGGAGAATCACTTGAGCCTGGGAGGCGGAGGTTGCAGTGAGCTGAGATCACGCCACTGCACTCCAGCCTGGGCGACAGAGTGAGACTCCATCTCAAACAAACAAACAAAAACAATAACAACAACAACAACAAAGAATTCGACAGTAAAGTCATCCAGTCCTGGACTTTGTCAGAAGACTTACTAATTCAATCTCCTTACTCATTATTAGTCTGTTCAGGTCTTTTTGGGCTTTTTTCCTGATTCAATCTTGCTAGGTTGCATGAGTCCAGGAATTTATCCATTTCTTCTAGGTTTTCCAGCTTGTTAGTGTATTTTTCATAATTGTCTCTGATGATCTTTTATATTTTCGTGATGTCAGTTGTAATGTCTCCTTTTTCATTTCTGATTTTATTTATTTGGGTCATCTCTCTTTTTTATGGTTAGTCTAGCAAGTTGTTTATTGATTTTATCTTTTCAAAACAACTAGTTTTTCATTTTGTTGATCCTTTGTATCTTTTTTTAGTCTCCATTTTATTCTGCTCTGATCTTTATTAATTCTTTCCTTCCACTAATTTCGGTTTTTTTTTCTTGCTTTTCTAGTTACTTGAGGTGCATGATTAGATTGTTTATTTGACTTTTTTATCTTTTTATGTAGGTGTTTATTTCTATGAACCTCCCTTTTAGCACTGCTTTTTCATAGATTTGGATATGTTGTTTCAATTTTCATTTGTTTCAAGGAATTTTTTTATTTCCTCAATTTCTTCCTTGATGCAATGATTATCCAGTAGCAGCATGTTTAATTTTCATGCATTTGTACAGTTTCCAAAGTGCCTTTTGTTGTTGATTTCTGGTTTTATTCTATTGTGGTCTAAGAAGATATCTGATATAATTTTGATTTTTAGAACAATTTTTGAGACTTGCCTTTTGTCCTATGATCTTGATTGGGTAGTATACTTTGGCTTTGATTCTGAGTGTGTACAGTAGTGTAGTCTCTGTGTAATTTCTTTGGCTATAAACAACATCAGTGGTGTCTATGATTTCCTTGATGGCTTAGGGTGCATTTGTTAGTGGAGGCTGTGTTGAAGTTTTTCTGGGGACTAGGACACCAGGTGGGCCAGTATTTAGGCCCCAGGGGTGGCAGCAGTGGGCTGACCATGTCTGTCCTTGGGACCCAGTGTGGAGTATGCTGGCACCAGTGTTAGCAAGTCCAGGTGGGCCAAATATTAAGCCTCTAGGTGGCTTTCGTAAGTGCTGGATATAGCAACAGTAGGCCAGGCAGGTGTGTGGGTTCTTGGACCCCCGGGCAGGCAGTATGGCATGGGCAATGGCAGTAGCAGTGATGGGACAACCATTTGCTCCCATGCAGGCTATGCTGATGTTGGAAGTAGTTGTGATGGGCTGGGAGGGCCAGTCCCCAGGCCTATAGGTAGCACATGTGGGTGGGTGCCAGCTGTGGTTGTAGCAGCAGGTTGGATTGGCCCAACCTTAGACTTTGGAAGGATTGCTCAGGTGTGAATGGTGGTAGACTGTGTTGTATGAGCCCCACTTTACAGTTTGCCTTTTCTAGACTGTCATGTAATTGGAATCATATAGGCCGTGGCCTTCTTAGACTGGCTTCTTTCACTTGGCAATATGTTTTTAAGGTTCCTTTGTGTCTTTGCATGGCTTAATAGCTCATTTCTTTTTGCTGCTGAATAATATTCTTTTGTACAGATGTACCCTAGTTTGTTTATTCATTTTTGGCTATTATGAATAAAGCTGCTACTAGCATTCATATGCGATTTTGTGTAGGAGTAAGTTTTCAACTCATTTGGATAAATATCTAGAAGCATGATTTCTGAATCATTATTATTGGACTTACTGTTGCAAAACCCTTTTCCTTATTCACCTTCCTTTTTGTCTTTCTCCCTCAGATAGAATGACTTAAGAAAAATAAAAATAGTGCATATTCATAATTTTTTAAAATTAAAGCAACACAAAAAGTGCAAAGAAGAAAGTATGAAAAAATAAAAAATCTATGGCCTGGAAATAAACATATTAATATTTGATAGGTGTCATTCCAGACATCCCCTTATACATGTATATATGCAGATGGAAGGTGGAATTACTACTGCTGCTCCCATCCCCTGCCCCCACCCACCCACACACACACCAGGAACACTCCATATCTCTTACCTTACATTATTTTCCTCCATAGCTTTTATAAACCTCTGACCTCCTCTATATTTACTTGCCTTTTTCTTGCCATTAGAAGACCATCTTCATAAAGGGAGGGATTTTGTTTGGTTTACTTCTATATCCCCAGTGCCTGGACAGTGTGCCTAGACACATACTAGGTGCTCAATAAGTGACTTATGAATAAATGAATACCTACATAGGAATATCGGATCAAAAAATGAAACCATATTATTAATATATATTTTAAAATAAAATTTTATTTTTATTTGAATTCAATTAAATATTATTTTAAAATATTAAATGTTTCCTTACCATAAGAAATATTTTTTCCCAAAAGAAATTCCACTCAAGTTAATTTTTAAAACTATGAAAACCGCCAGGCGCAGTGGCCCACGCCTGTAATCCCAGCACTTTGGGAGGCCGAGGTGGGCAGATCACGAGGTCAGGATATCGAGACCATCCTGGCTAACACGGTGAAACCCCGTCTCTACTAAAAATACAAAAAATTAGCCGGGCATGGTGGCGGGCGCCTGCAGTCTCAGCTACTTGGGAGGCTGAGGAAGGAGAATTGCGTGAACCCGGGAGGCGGAGCTTGCAGTGAGCCGAGATCACGCCACTGCACTCCAGCCTGGGCGACAGAGCGAGACTCCGTCTCCAAAAAAAAAAAAAAAAGAAAACCATTAAGAGATGATGAGATACAGAAACCACATATTTCACTTCTAGGCAGTTGTCTGTTCACTCCATGCTATTAAATATGAGGAGAAATTAACGTTCTTAAATTTGCTTCCACTTCTCGTTCCCATCCCCACCTGCCAATTTTCATCATTTATATTTTGTTAGTTACATTATCCTTGTTGTATCATGGCAATTCCACACATTTCTTTAATTTTGTGTATAGGTAGATTCAGTGCTCATCACCACTTCTTTCACCATTACTTCTCCATTCCTGAGGTTTCAAATTTTGCTTCATTCTGAATTGCCTAGATTTCATCAAGTAGTTTTTCAAGAAGCTCTCAATGATGCTGTAATCTTTGAGGACGTTCATGCTTAAGAATATCTGGTACTGTAAAGGACACCCTGACTTGCTATAAAGTTCTTGGTTTACTTTTTCTTTCTCTCAACTATTTGTAGACATTGCTCTATCAATACGGGAGAAGTATTAGGCCAACCTGCAGTTTTTGTTTGCAGTTAGGAGTGATGTTGAAGCTATTTTACAACCAAGACAGTATGAGCAATAACTAATCAGAAAAGATTAGGATCGAACAACTTACTAGCCCTACTGATGCATACCCACTGAATATAAGCTCTGCTTATAGTGAAAAGTCAAAGAGAACAGAAGGATTTAATGTGAAGAATGAAAGTCCCTCGTTTCTTAAGAAACGTTTCTCTTCAGTTATGTTCCAATTGTAATTTAGTGTGGAATGAATGGCGTGTTTCATGCTGTCTTCTCTTCAGGAATAGTTGTAAATCTAGATAACACACACCTCCACAAGTGTAGAGAATAAACAGACCTCTAATTTGCTTTAGTCCCCAGGGTTGGCTACAGCACAGCTGCCCTTGGATCGACATGGAGAAACCTGCATTCAAAGGTCCAAATCTTGTCCCTAGGACTTAGCTTCTTCACCTGGGACATTCAGATGATACTAATTGAGGAAACCAAGATACAGGAATTTAGTACCCATCTATTCCTTCTAATACAAAACATCGGAGAATTCTGGCTTTTGCAAACTGTTGTTGACATTTTATACCCAGATGTTACCATTACCTTTGAAGCCTCTTGTGCCTCCTCCCTGACACCACTCTGCTCTCTTTCCGCCTGGAGCAACCACTGACCCAAAATTTGCATTTGTCATTTTTTTTCTTTTTGTTGCCATTTTACCACATACATTTGCATCCCTAAACAATAAAGTGTCTAGGTTTGAAAGCTGCTAAATCCACGAGTGAGATCACACTATATTTATACTTCAGCAACTTGCTTTCTTCACTCAGCGTGGTTCCTGACATTCATCCATACAGATGTGCGTAGCAGTAGTTTATTCATTTTCATTGCTGCATAGTATACCATTGTGTGAATTATCACAATTTATTCATTCTACTGTTGATGGGCATTTGCGTTATTTCCTGTATTTCTTTGCTATTGCAAACAACGTTACTGTGAACATTCTTATGGTGTGTCCCTTGGGGCACATATGTAAGAAATTCTCTAGAATATATGCCTAGGAGTGGAATTGCTGAATCATGCACTATGTACATCTTTAATTATATTACATAATGCCAAATTGTTTTTTAAAAATGGTTATACCAATTTACACTTTCCTTATAGGGCTGGAGTTCTGGCTCAATATTCTCATCTACACTTGTTATGGTCATGGATCATACAATCTGGTGGTATATCTGCCTTATTTCCTCATTTTACTTTTTATTATTTTTCTAATTTTTTCTAACTTTACTCAGATACTTAATTTTCATCCTTTTTTAATAAATGCATTTAATTTTTGATATTTTTGAGAGGTGATTTTGTATGCTTTCATATGTAGTGCTCTCATTGTTCATATCTAAGTAATCCATTATTCCAGTTTTGAATTCTATTTCTGGCTAGATAAATTAAAAAACCATTCCACTATAAACACATAGAAATGCGATATAAATTATAACAGGCTTTTAAATGCACAGATAAGCTCACCACAAATTAAAAGAAATCACGGAAACAAAAATTAAGAAAAACCTGTAAAACAAAATTTAAGTAGGAGCTCACATGATGGCTTCCATGCATTCTTAGATTTTAGAAATACGGGTCCCCAGCATGATAAATTTAAAAAGCAAATGAACTGCAGGACACTAGAAAGAAAATATTCTAAAAGTAACAGAGGATAACAAATATATTATCTATTTAAAAAAGCGAGATAGGCCAAGCGCCGTGGCTCATGCCTGTAATCCCAGCACTTTGGGAGGCCGAGGCGGGCGGATCACGAGGTCAGGAGATCGAGACCATCCTGGCTTACATGGTGAAACCCTGTCTCTACTAAAAAATACAAAAAATTAGCTGGCGTGGTGGCAGGTGCCTGTAGTCCAAGCTACTTGGGAGGCTGAGGCAGGAGAATGGCGTGAACCCAGGAACCCTAGCTTGCAGTGAGCTGAGATTGTGCCACTGCACTCCAGCCTGGGCGGCAGGCCAAGATTCTGTCTCAAAAAAAAAAAAAAAAAAAAGGGAGATAGACTGAAAGCCAAAACAGTAACAAGTGAGGAGAGGGTAGAATAATTTCTTCACAGAACTTCAATACACTATCTATCAATATTCTATTCGCAGCTAATTCTATTAGCTAATTCTATTCCCAGTTATTATACAAGATTGAAACTTCACCTCAAAGATACCTTCAAGGAAGGAATTCCTAAATGAAATTAATTAGCACAGAAACTAAGCATACTTGGCAAAATTTCAAAAAGACCACTAAAACAAGTGGAAATAGACTACATAAGAAATTAAAAGCACGAAAATGTCAAAAAATCCAAATAATATATATTAAATTGACAAAACTCCTCAGTTATAAGACAAATTATGTTTTTTTGGTAAGAGTGCACCCAGAACATGAAGTAATAAAAGGGTGATGAGGTCAAAGAGATGAGCTGGGGCTGTCTCATAAAGAAACTTGTGGACCTGGATAAGAAATCTGAGACTTATTGTGTGGTGGGAAGCCACTGAGGAGTTTGAGCAAGGGAGTGACATGAACTGATTTTTGTCTTAAAAAGCTCATTCTGGCGGTTAAATGAACTGTTTTGAGTCAAGAAAGAAGTAAGGAGATGTGTTAGAAAATTCCATCGCCTTTTTTTTGGAAAGTGACATGTTAAAGTCTTTTTCTATTACCATGGATTTATCACCTCTCCTAATCTTCTTGGAGTTTTTGCTTTATGTGTTTTGATACAATGTTGTAAGCAGCCCAAGTAGAAGTTAACATCTTACTGGTGAATTGAAACTTTTTAAAAGAGACCTTTTCTTTTCTTTTTTCAGAGATGGGGTCTTGCTGTGTTGCCCAGGCTGGACTTGAACTCCTGGGCCCAAGTGATCCTCCCACCTCAGCCTCCCAAGTAGCTGGGACTTCAGGCATGCACCACCATGCCTGTGCATTGACATTTTTAAAAGTCCATCTAAAGCGTCCTCCTTTGACCCATTTACTATTTTTTATTTTAAAATTTCATTGCATGCTTTTATTTTTATTATCATTTACTAACTGGTAAATGAATTCATGTCTTCATTTTTACACTTTCTGTGTTTTTTTTACTGGGTATGCCTTTTGTAAATATCATGCAGCAAATTTTATTTAGTCAGCAAATATTTAAAGAGCACTCTCTATGTTATCAATCACATTTTAAGCATTAAGAAGACAAATGGAGGAAGTCATGAAGCTCACAGTCGAAAAAATTCACATTTAATTGCTTCTCAGCCTTTCAGTTAGGAGGTACTGTAAAAAGTTCATGCTTCCTATGTTTTGCTTTTTAAATTATGGGAACTTCTATGGCTATTCCTCAAAACGTAGTGTTAGGAAAGTAGAGGGAACAGGCCATCTTGTCTGATATTAGAAAAATAAAAAAATCTCTATCAATTAGAAAGCTCTGCTCAGCGTTTTGGTGTTAACTCTGTGGTTAGTAATCTCACTGCCTATACAGTATTTTTCACAAGCCAGGGTAATGACTATTAGTGAGAGTTTTAAACTCAGTGAGTGAGGGGGCATGGGTGTCACCTGCACCTCACATATTCTACTCTCTGAACCACCATGGCCTATTTCTTAGGGGTCATTTGGGTATGGCTGAACGAAAATATGTTAGAGCTGAAAGTACCTCAAAAATCAAGCCATAAGTGAGTTCCTTCTTGTTTAGTCTGTAAAAAATGTCTTTTCAGTTCTGAATATCCCACGAAGTGAGATTTTTAATGACAAGGTAAAGCATTAGAAACACATTTTGCAATACCAAAGAGGAAAGAAAAGTGGCTTGAAACGCGGAGCTGCTCTGAGTCTGTCAGATCCTCTCTTCTAACTCATGTTGCTTTCTCAGTTCCCTCCTCTTCCTTCCCCTCTATACACCACACACAAAGAGAAAAAAAGAGATGACCTCAACCTGAGACCTGAGAAGAATGTGTAGCCACTCTGTGTTAACTCTGAAGGAGTTCTCAATTGAGGGATCAATATTCATGCCATTTTGCCACACATGGGTAGCAGTCAATTCGTCAAGCACTCCACAGTTATTTCCCCAATTCCCCAACGCACACCCTCAAAATCTGTCTCCCTTTAAGATAATACCATGATGTCAATATCATAACACTCATATTTCGAAAGGTTAGTGCTGTTTAAGACGAAATGTGAATTAGTTGTCAAGACTTTGTTTGATGCCTAATATGGGATCATCAACAGAAGGTGGATGGTGTGCATCACAATTTGTGCATATCGCACTAAGTTGAAATCCAATATGATCAACGGAAGACTCCAACCACCTGAAATTTCATTCGTGAGTCATTTTGTGCATATCCCTCCAAGCCTTTATTTTATCCTAGGTTGATCTTCCTCTTGATTAAATCTTCTTTGACAATTTAGTACTCGAGTCCATGACGATTCATCCTTTCCCTGATTTTTTATTTTTGTAAAGTGGATGCCAGAGTATGGGGCTTCTTTATGCAATAATTACTTTGTGGATGATGAAACATCATTTTTATTCCAGTGACAGCTTGGATTTCTTAAAAGTAGGGCTCATATGATTTACTTTGGGGTACAATGGCTATCTACTCCAGATATTTGTTGACTGAATATTGATTACATCATATGGATGTTAACATCAGGATAGTGTTGACTGGCAAAGGCATAAAGTGAAGAGTGCTTAGATAAAATTCTTATGTTGAAAGAGTTTGCTACCTAGAATGGAGACAAAGTGAAAATGAATATTTATGATGTAGTGTGGTAAGCACCGTGGTAGAGGCATATGCAATCATAATTCACAGTTAGAAACACATGGGTTGGTTATAAAAGCATAGTTCAGGACTCTCTGAAGAGGAGTAGAAGAAAAAGAGTATCTGGTACAGCAAGAGCAAGAACATGACAACATGAGATTTCCTATCTCACAAACAAGCGAGGCACTTTAAGCGAAGATCTTGAATGCCATGCTAAGCAGTTTGGACTTAATAGGGAACCATCAAAGGTTTCAATATGTTTTTATTGAAAAATATCCAGAGCTGATTTTCTCTCTAGGAAGACCCACCCCTTGTCTGCTGTAGGCAAAAGAATATTGGAGAATTCTGACACTGAGTTTTTTTGGTTTTTTTTTTCTCATTCTAACCTCTGTTCTCCCTCTCATCAAATCATCCAGAGACTGGATGGATTTTATTTTCCATAACACAAAAGTTAGCCTCCAGCCTGGTCAACATAAGGAGACCCCATCTCTACAAAAAAGATTAAAAAATTAGCTGGGCATGGTGGTGTGTGCCTGTAGACTCAGCTACGTGGGAGGGTGAGGTGGGAGGCTGACTTGAACCCAGAAGGCAGAGGCTGCAGTGACCCGTGATCATGCCACTGTACTCCAGCCTGGATGACAGAGCCAGAATGTCAAACAAACAAACAAGATTAGCTGTAATATACCAAGGTGAGGGGAAACTATTTCATGTGATGAAAAGTCAAGTCCAAGACCCATGTCATCCTGGGTACTTACAGAAGAAACCCACCCAATCTGTCCAGGAGCTGACATGGAAACCCCAGCATGTGAATCTGCTGGCCTGACAGCTGTAACAGAAGCTTGCAGAGAAGCTGCCAACCCAGAGGGCAGTCTGTGGCCAGGAAAAAAAAATGAGATTTCTACAGCCTCTAGTGTGACAACTAACCGTACCACTGAGGAAGTGGGTGGGGAGATACAGATGCTGGTAGAGAAAGACGACATGAAGGTGTTCACAGTCAGCTGTTGATTTTCACTATCTATTGCTTCATTGGCTAGGAGCATCATGGTGGTTGTTAAGCAAAATTTGGGCAGATAATCACATAAAAAGTAGGATAATTGTGTCTTTCAACTAAGTTTTTAGAAAATGTTTATTTGTCCCCATTTCATGGAGATGAAGACCTATAAGAAAGCCATCTACACTGTTCTAAACCCATTGTGATTTGGAAACTTTCAAAGAGATACTTAATCAAAACCGAGACAGCTCACAAGACTTTTTACCTTAAATAGGCCTCTAACATATTTTAATATAAATTTTGTTAAAGTAGGTTTAATAAGCAAAAGCATAAAAATGGGAGCAAAAATAAATAGATCTGCTTGAAAACAAGTTTGTCAGTATAATCCAAATCAGTTCAAAATTAATTTATGTTTAGCTTTAAAATTGTGACTGAAGGGAGCAACGGTCAAGCAGATATCTAAACTTAGTAGATCTCTAAATTTAATTTGTAGGCATTGAACAGCTTCCTTTAATGGGTCCAA